>NC_000013.11:90192372-90495403 GCF_000001405.40 Homo sapiens
TTGCAATATATCAGATTTTTTGCTATTTTTCATGTGTTCTTTATGTTTCTGACATTTTACTGTCTATCTGAATATTGTCTATTGATATCATTTTCAGTTAACAAATCTGTAAAGACTAATCTGTTAAATTTTTTATGGATTTTTAAAAAGTTATATTATACAATACTCACGTTTAAATTTAATATTTAATGCATTGCTATTCCTGGTGAAATTCTCTTTTTATTTACTTCTTAGTTATTTAAATATCACGTTAATAAAACTTTAATACCTACTGATATGGTTTGAATCTTTGTCCCCACCCAAATATCATGTTCAATTGTAACTCCAATGTTGGAGGTGGGGCTTGGTGGGAGGTTGTTGTATCATGGTGGTGGATGTTTTATGAATGGTTTAGCACCGTCCCTTTGGTGCTGTTTTCATAATGGACTTGTCAGGAGACCTGGTTGTTTAAAAGTGTGTGGCACCTTCACTTTCTCTCGGTCCTGCTCCTGCCATGTAAGATGCCTGCTCCCACTTTGTCTTTTATCATGAGTGAAAGCTCCCTGAGAACTTGCCAGAAGCTGATACTGCTATGCTTCCTGCAGAGCCTGCAGAACCATAAGCCAGTTAAATCTTTTGTCTTTCTTTATAAATTACCCAGTCTCAAGCAGTCTCAGGTGTGTCTTTATAACAGTGTGAGAACAGACTAATACACCTACATTAGTTCTCATTATTTTTCATTTATTTTCCCTAATGATATCTATTTTTTAACAAAATATTGACAATGCATAATTTTGTAATTCCGTTATCTATGGTTTTAATATTTTAATTAAATATTTTAATTAATATTTTGATATTGACAAAACAAATATAATTTTAAATTATAAGCTACTGCCAGTACTTGTAGATAAAACTAAAAATCGCTCAAGAATTTAGAAGTTAGGACAGAAATTTGCTTTCCAAGTGAGGTCTATAATATCAGCAAAATAGTGTATTTGTATGATTGCTGGGCCACAGTGTAGAATTAAATACTAATAATTAAGTAACTCTTTTCTGTGAACCTCAGAGCACAAAATTCACATTCAAAACTCTTCAAATACCACATTCTACACATTTACTTTGGCTCACTCAAGATTGGCAAAATTTAGGTTCGTTATAGGTAATGTAGTAGCAATGAAACACAAATAGCTTTATCTAATTTTCTTTAATCTCATTAACTAATAAAAAAGAACACTCCTCATAAAAATCTTAATGAACGAAAGGGACATATTTTTGTAGTATATTTGGTAAATAATGAAGTGATCTGTCAAATATAAATAACTCTGCTCAAGTCTTCCTAAATCTCTTGCTATTGGTCTCATGACAAAATGCTTTTATTTTCATTGAGTGAATTTGTTGAGCTATCATATTATCTCTGTTGAGTTAAAATCTTTGGTTATTCAATTTTAAAAAGATAAACTATCCAAAGAATTAAGCACCTGTCCCCTAAAATGTCACAACAATAGGACAGAGAGTTCATACATACCCAAACCCAGTTTGGACTATTGTTCACATCTTACATTAGTATGGTACATTTGCCATAATTACTGAACTAATATTAATGTATTATTTAACTAACATTCATATTTTATTCAGATTTCATTAGTTTTTCCCCGCTATTCTTTTTCTTATTCAGGACCTCATCCAGAATATCATCTTACTTGTATTTATTATGCTCCTCTTTGCTGTGATAGTTTCTCAGACTTTTCTTGTTTCTGATGACCTTGATAGTTTTGAGTATTACCAGTTGAACTGCTTTAAAGAATGTCCCTCCATTGAAAATGGTCTGATGTTTTTCTCATGATTAGACTGGGGTTATGGGTTTGGGTGAGGAAAATCATACAAATAAAGTGCAATTTCATGGTACCATATAACGGAAACATACTTTCAATGTGGATTAGCACTTTTGTTGTTAACCTTCATCAACTGGCTAAAGTAGTGTTTTTCAGATTTCTTTAGTATAAAGTTACTCTTTCTCTCCACTTTCCATACTGGACTATTTGAAACAGTAACTATGTGCAGTTCATACTTAAGAGTACAGGGCAGGCCTGCTATAATTGCATATTTCCAATTTCTCTTTTCTGTCTCTTGTGACATTTCATTTATTTGTATGTAAAAAATCATTTAGCTCATTACTATTGTTAATTTAAAGTTATCTTTTAGATCACCTAGGAATAAGTTAACATAAAATAATGTTATCTTTATTTAATTCTTCTCTGATACTCTTTGTAATCCTTCTCTGATATTGTTTGATTCTTGCTTCAGAGCCAAGTTTCTAAACTGTATTATTTTATTTCTTCATAAATTCTTTAACCAATTTTGTAGTGTACATCTGCTTATGATGAATTACCTCAACTTTCAATTGTGAAGGTCTTTATTCTTTTGAAACTTTGAAAGATAATTTTGCTGGATATAGAAATTCAGGTTGGTGTTTTTATTCATTATTTTATTTCTGGCAAAACTTTAAAATTTGACTCCACTTTCCTTTCTCTTGCATGGTTTCTGACAAGAAGCATGCTGTAACTCTTATTCTTCCTCTTCTATAAATAAGGTAGTTTCCCATTCACTACCCCTAGCCTCTTTTGAGATTTTCTCTTTGCCTTTGGTTTTCTGAAGTTATGTCTTATTAATAACTATGTTTCTTTTGGTTTTTATTTTGCTGGCTGTTCTCTAAGCTTCCTGGATCTGTGGTTTTATGTCTGTCATTAATTTTTGAAAAGTTTTCATTAATTGTTACTTCAAATATGTCTTCATCTCATTTCTCTCTTTCTTTCTGCATTTTCCTCTCTCTCTTTCTCTCTTATTTTTTTTCTCATCTGGTATTCTAATTGCAGGTAGGCTACTGCTTTCAATATCATTTCTTTGATATTGTTTATTATTATTATTATTATTGTTTTTCATATTATTGTTTTTCATGTGGGAATGTTTCTATTTATGTATCTTCTGGCTCACTAATTCTTTCTTCAGACATGTCATGTCTACTGATGAGCTCATCAAAGTTTTTCTCATTTTTGCTACTGTTTTTAAGTTCCAGTTTTTTTTTTTTTTTTTTTTTTTGAGACAGAGTTTCACTCTATCACACAGGCTGGGGTGCAGTGGCAAATTCTTGGCTCACTGCAACCTCCACCTCCCAGGTTCAAGTGATTCTCCTGCCTCAGCCTCCCCAGTAGCTGGGACTACAGGCGTGTGCCACCATGTCCAGCTATTTTTTGTATTTTTAGTAGAGATGGGGTTTCACCATGTTGACCAGGCTGGTCTTGAACTCCTGACCTCGGGTGATCCACCCACCTCAGCATCCCAAAGTGCTAGGATTACAGGCATGATCCACTGTGCCTGGCTGAGTTCTAGGACTTTATCTATTCATTTATTAGAATTTCTATCTCTCTGCTCACATCATCCATCTGTTTTCTCTCATTACTTTTTGTCCCATTATTTCTTTTAACATGGTAATTACAGTTATTCTAAATTATCCCTCTTATAATTTCAACATCTGTTTATTATTGAGTCTGGTTGTCAGGGGTGCTTTTCTCTTCAGATTATATTTTTTCTTGTCTTTTACCATGCTTTGCAATTTTTTCCTAAAAGCTGGACATGATGTATTGGGTAATGGGAACTGACATAAACAGGCATTTAGCATGAAATTTTATGCTAATCTGGGTAGGAGCTGGGTTGGGTTAAAAGTCTTTTTTTGTAGCTGTAGGTGCTAAAATCTACAAATTTCTCTAGTGTCCTTGTTGTTGTCTCCCTCTTGACATTGGGTTTTCTAATCGTTTTTCTCAGACAGAGTCTGTGTCTTCTTTCTCTTTTACCTATAATCCACTGTTATTATATTGGTGTCTTACTCTAGTTGGCTATAAGGTGTGTAAGGGGAGGATGCTCTATAATCATAAGAATAAATCTCAGTATTTTGATGAGCCTTCACAAGTGTTTCTCTGGAGATATAATTTCCTGCCTTATCCCTGATGCCTCTTTCATTTCCTGGCTGCAGTGTTCCCAATTTATTTCATGTAAGTTCTTCCCCATTGTGACTTTTTTCCCCAATGTCTTTCAAAAATGTCTGCAAAATGCTATTTACTTAACAAAAAATAATACAAAATAATGAAGAGACCCAGAACCACAATATAAATGGTAATTCCTGTTAAAGAGCTGCTTCAATTTTTGATAAATGATTTTCACCATCCTTAAGAATTCCAAGCCAAGGTAGCACAATAGAAATAATGTCTCTGAAAGTCCCAGTTCTGTTCTGTCAATTAGCAGGTTTGTATGAACTATTAAACATTATGGCACATTGCTATGGGTATTTTTCTAACAATAAGTCATATTTCAATGGATGTACCACATTCTTAAATTATTTTTCTTACCGTTGCACAGAAACCTGCACTCAAGCAGGGCTTTCAAATGAACAACCAGATCCAATACTGCAATTTCTTATTTCACTGGATTAAAATTATCAGGCACTTTTAAGATACCTATGTTTTGTAATATTTATAATGTGACTAAATTTCAAATATCAAATAAAAATGTAACAATTCTAAAAGAGGACAAAATATCATGACTATTTTATTCATAATTACATTATCTCCAACATTTTTCAATTATTGATACATCAGTGAATTAGCCAAAAACATATGATTAAAGAATACATTTTAAATTGCAGTGCAAACAACCTATAATACAGATACACAAGGGAGTGAGATCAATTATATCACAAGGAGTAAGTTCTACATGAGAAGGATATTGAGATTTTATATGCCTTATTTAAAAGAGGGGGAATTGTTTTGTAAAAAGGTACTTGGATCTTCCAAAGTCAATTCAGAAAGATAGCATCACCCCATAACATTCTTAACCACTTCTAGTTGATACAGTGGTTAACATATCAAACAGAGTGCTATATCATTTTCATCCCATTTGGAAATTTCTCTTTTATATAGATTATCAGGATATCTGGGGTTTTATCAAATCTGAATGTTTATCCATAACCCACTCATTAAATAACTAGGTTTTATTTCTGGGCTGGGGTTTTAAGGTAAGCAATCTTTTTTTAAATTTTCTTTTCTATTCAGTCTTTCAAATAGCCTGTCTTCAGCTGTCACTTCAGGATATGTTTTAGTCTTATTTTATAAGTGGTCAGTCAATCATGGTGGTCCAATTCAGCAACCACTCTTAATGTAGGGATAAAGCATGAAGTGCCCAATGTACGGTTAAACCAGCAGCAGCAGTTGTGATATCAGTAGATTTTGATGCAGTTTTGTCAGAAGCTGATGTCACTCTTTAATCACAGAGTTTGGAAGGCTGTGCAATACTTCCCTGTGAGATGGTAGGTTTTTGTCAGTTCGTTGCAACCACTTTGAAAATCAGGCTGCTATATAGCCTTGCGTGACTTTGCTGATAAGACTGTGTCAGCTCACCTGTTTTCAACTTTCCTTCTGCATTTTTCTGAGAGGCTAACAGCATGAGTAAAAGCAAAACCAGTAGTTCCATTCTCTTTCATTCTAGCCAAGTATAAGGTCTCTGGGCTCCTCTGTTTGGCAAGTTTTCACTGTAGCCTCCATAAAAGGCATTTGACCAAATGAGTCACACCAGTAGTAACATCACTCTCATCAACCCAGGAACAGCAGTATTTCTGGTCAAGCCCATTACAGGTACAATGAGGGGAAAAGGTATTTTTTTCTTTTGGCAAGAAGTTTAACCTCACACAAACCTTCATTTGCCCCCAACAAGAAAGAGATTTATCCCCCGTCTAATGTCATAGGGTTTTGCCAACAGACTATAATTTGTTTGGCCCCTTCATCCAAGCATCAAGATCTTCATTTTACAGTCTAGTTAAGATTTACCAATTAAAGGTCATAATTTAGTGCAAGGACAAATGTGTCTGAAAAGGTGTTACTGACCCTTTATGTTTACAGTGCAGTCCTATAAACCTTGATTACCCTATTTAACATAGAAAAGAGACAAATTGATTCATCTGCGACCACTAGGACTTGAACTATCTAATAGGTGTTAATGTCTCTTGTATCCCTTAACCAATTAGATTTTTCTTTTGGCTAATTAATTTTTATAGAACCCATAAAATCTTCTTACTCTGGGGATTGTAAACAAGTTTATATCAAAAGATGTTAGAACACGGGATAAAATCAAGGCATGTTGAGTTGGGCTTATATATCCCCAGTTATTTCTTATTCACAGTGTATTCATTTACGTAATTGGATAAAATATATATGGTTAAAATATTTCTGTACCAAGGTAAAATTTCCCTTACATTGACCATAACCACTCCCATCTGGGGTACTCATTAATTAATCGATTTGTCTGAAGGATGCATACTTTCCCATTCTGAGGATCCTGTAATGTTCTTTCTTATAAGCTGAACATCTGATGTTTTCATCTAGTGGAAGGTCAATTTGCAACTTGCTTGATGAAGTAAATGTTGTATAGGACATCAAAACAATCCCAAACATCATTATAAAATAGGTTTATCTGACAAAAAATAATAACTAAACTAAACAAAAACAATATGTTGAAGAGAACCATAGCATATCTGGGGGTTCTCATTAAAGAACAATTTTTCTTCTCTCTCTAGTAAAGACATGTCAACTTCCCTAAGTATTGTAAACAGAGTTAATGTAGGGGAGTAAATACACCTAAATGTCCCAGCTGGGTTCCTTCTATTGCCTGTAGTCTCTGCACTATTAGAAATTATATCACATTGTTATGAGGATTTGTATAATAATAATTCAGGGTTAAACAGGTAAGTTGAGTTCTTATTCTATTTTTTTTTTTTTTTACCATTACGCAGCTATGCATCCACACTGCAGCTCTATGGCCTCAGAAGACTAACACGGATATTGTGTTAGTTGTTATATGTTATATATAAGTGTTATATATAAGTGTTTTATATATATATATATATATAACTGTTATAACAATTGTTATATGGCCAAGGTCTTGTTGCTGTGACATCCCAAATGAGGGATAGGTGAGGGGCAGGTAAAGGATGCTGCCTATGCAGCTGGCTTGTGCAGCAAATGGAGAGTGTTGCCATTCCCTGAGGTAAGACACCTAAACTTAGTATAATTGGAGACGAAAATGACATGGCAAGTTTTGTATATGTTAGATTTTGAAGTGAAATTAGCAAAGATAAATATTCAGTAGGTAAGCTGGTGTTCACTATTTAAGAGATAGGAATATATGCATACTAGTTGAAACTGTAGAAATGAATGAAGTTCCACAGGAAGATTAAGTAGAGTAAGAATAGAATGTCTTGTTTTTTTAACTTAGGGTAGCTTTTCTTAACCAGGTCCTGTGAGACAAGTACATCTCAAGGTTTAAGACTGTCACCATATACAATGAACTAAAGTCCTATGTAACTAAAATGGTATTAGCTAAGTATCAACTTTGTGAGAATTTAGAAAATATTGACACAAATAATTTAGAATTAATGTCATGACAACTTACATGAAATATAAAGAAAACCCTTCAATGATGTAATTCTAAATATCACTGCCTATTTTGCTATGAATTTGTAGATTTTACTTCTATGTATATTTAATTAATTAATTAATTTGTTTGTTTGAAACAGAGTTTCACTCTTGTTGCCCACGCTGGAGTGCAATGGCTCCATCTCGGCCCACTGCAACCTCTGCCTCCCAGGTTCAAGTGATTCTCCTGCCTCAGCCTCCCTAGTAGCTGGGACTACAGACACCCGCCACCACGTCCAGCTATTTTTTTGTATTTTTAGTAGAGACTGGGTTTCACCATGTTGGCCAGGCTGGTCTCAAACTCCTGACCTCAGAGGATCCACCCGCCTCGGCCTCCCAAAATGCTGAGATTACAGGCGTGAGCCACTGCACCCTGCCTCTATGTATATTTTAAACCCCACGGTACACTTTTTGTCTCAAACATGCAAATGTCTTTTAAATAAATTAGGAGAACAAATGGTATTTTATATTTGTGCATATTTACTGTCACTAGCGTCCTTTAATATTTACCCTACATTCAAATGTCCATCAGGTTCCATTTCATTCATCTTAAAAACCTCCCTAGAGCATTTGTTTTAGTGAAGGTCAACTGGCTTCAAATCCTCACAGATGTGATCTATCTGAAAATGCCTTTATTTACTTGCATTTTCTAAGGATATTTTCATTAAATATACGATCCTGAGTTTGTCCTCTCATTGTTCAGCACTTTGCGCTTTTTCATTAACCTCTCAAAAGTAAACCATCATTCATTTAGTTGCTTTCCTACGTATAATACGTCTTTTTTAGCCCTCTTCAGGCATTTTCAAAAATTTTCTTATTATTTTATGTTCGGCATTCAGTTATAACGTGTCTAGGTATGGCATTATTTGTATTTAAAATGCTTACAGTTAATCCATCTTGGAATTAGAGCTTTGATGTTTTAATTTTAAATTTTGGAACATTTTGACTTTGCTTCATTAAATATTTGTCTCCCTTTGCCTCTGTCTCTGTCCCTCTCTCTTTATTCCCCCAACTCCCTTTCTTTCCTTACTGAGTATCAGTGATGCTCTGTTTCTTTATCTTTGACTATTTTCTCTCATTCCTGCCAGTCAGACAATTCCTACCAATATATCTAGAAGTTTATTGACTCTTATTTCTGTTATTTCCAATCTGCTGTTATGTTTATACAGTAAATTTTAAATATCAGATATTATATGTATGTTCCATCTGGTTCTTTTATATCTTATTAATTAATGTTTTTATTTTGTCTAAAACAAAGTTACTGGTAGACCTTTTTAACCCTTTCAGTGTGATTTTGATTTTTGTTGTAACTTGCTTATTTTTGTTATGTCTTTAGTCAATTTTCTTATCCAAGGGTGTAAGTCTTTACTGCTAAGGCATGACCTTTCTGAGGTTTCTGCTGAATGTGCAATGTACACAGTGAGGTCTCTCTAACCAGGCTGGGACAGGATCCCTGCACCTCCCAGGCCTGCATGATCTCTGACACCTCTGCTTGGCTCCCAGTCCCTCAGAAATAACTCATCCAAAAGCCCCATGAACATTCACCCTGCCTGCGTGCAGCTAATTCCTCAGCCAAGAACAAATGGTAACCCCTGCTTACCCTCTGGGGCTTCAGCACTGTGTAGTCATGTTCTCTGTCATATCCTGCCCATAAATTCTAGCTTCAGTAGCACCAAATCTTGCCTTTTCAGTTCAGCAAAACTGCATACTACATTGAAGCACAACACCCCAGCTAACAGAGAGTGTGTATGTCTTTTTCTTCTTTTAAGGATCACAGTCCTGATCTGGGTGCAATCTAGTGTCTGAAAATAGTTTTGTCATTCTTTTTCTAGATTTATGGTTGATCTGATAGGATGGAAAATTTGGGTAAGTTATTCCAGTGTGATTGTACATTCACATCTCTTGTAAAAAAAGTTTTTCCTAGATGGATTTCATAATTTGAATCTTTGAGTTGCAGTCTTTGATGACGATTGGGAAATTCTTAGTTAGTATTGTAACCACATACAAGTCCCGGTGCTCACTGCCTGAGAAGCCTATTAAAAAGTAAGGTTTAGTGAAGGGAAAGCAGCTTTGTTAATCAAATAGCAGTTTGGAAATGGCCGGGCTCATGCCTCTAAAACACAATTTCAAATGAGTTTAAGAAGGGAAACCAAGTATGAGAAGCACACAAGAATGGTCCAGGATATGGGGTCTACATGTCTTGCTCGAATAGCCATCTTGAGTTAGTGTCCATCTGAAGTACAGGCTGACACCATCTCAACAATGACTGGCTTGTAGAGTAATTGACTTGAAGTGATCTCTAAATGGGAGGGAATTCCTCAGCTGAGTATCCAGGCCTGGTTCATTTCAAGATTAACCACTGGAAATTTTAAGCAAGCAAATAATTAGATAACCAAGCGCAGTGCCAGGAAGGGAGGGGAAGAATTTTGAAACACATCTCAAAGCTAAGACTAGAGAAGCGGAAAAAGGTTTAAAAACGCATTTTGGATCTAAACTGCCTGGTTACATTATGTCATCAAATATTATTTCTGTGCCAGATTTTTATGCTCTCTCAGAATATGGTTATATTAGTCTCACTATCTACTGTTTCTTACTTTGTCTTCGGAAGTTTTCACTGGTTTGCTCTTGTTGCATTATTTGTATTGAATTAAGAAGAACCTTTTAGTTTGTTAATTTTCAAATTTGTATTGCAGGCTATTTCCACTACAAATCTATACCTTTTTTTTCAAATCTATTATATATTCTTTATATTTTCCAGTTTTGAGCTAAAATTGTGAATATTCTTTTACCTTCTTGAAGTTAAACTGAAACAGAATTATATTTATATTAATGTCTGTATCTTAGCATTCCAATATCAGAAAGGAACTTTTGTTTCCCTAGACATGGAGGCTGTCAGAGCCCTCTGCAAACTCTCAGTCGTCTTTCAGAATAGGCAAAGGGCTCCACGATAAATGTGGCTCCAAATACTAAGTTCCATTTTTTGTGTGTTTCTGTGTTCTATCATTGATTGTTGGTTCAATACATAGGTAAGATTTTTTCTAGGCATCTTTATGTAGTGCCTCGTATACATTTTATTTATTAACACAGCTATTATGTTTACTATATTTTAAATATTTATTTAATGGACAAATGATTTGAACTGATGCCATGCAGGAATATATAGAAAAACAATGGCACAAAAGTCCATGAAAATATACTCAATACAATTAGAAGTAAGAGAAATACAAAATTAAAACTACAATGAAATACCATTGCACACCCTCTAAATTAATTTAAAAACATTACAGAATACCAGTAAGCATGTGAAGCTACAGGAACTCTTCTGCATTATTTATTGTTGTTTAAAATCCTGGGGATGGGAGCAGTGGCTCATGCCTGTAAGCCCAGCACTTTGGGAGGCCGAGGCAGGCAGATGACAAGGTCAGGAGATCGAGACCATCCTGGCTAACAGTGTGAAATCCTGTCTCTACTAAAAATACAAAAAAAAAAAAAAGAATTAGCCGGGTGTGGTGGTGCACACCTGTAGTCCCAGCTACTCAGGAGGCTGAAGCAGGAGAATTGCTTGAACCCGGGAGGCAGAGGTTGCAGTGAGACGAGATTGCGCCACTGCACTCCAGCCTGGGAGACAAGAGCGAACCTCTATCTCAAAAAAAATTTTTTTTAAAATTATATGTGTTTGATTTTTCAATGATATTGAAAATATATTTTTTACATTTATTTTCTAGTTGTTTGGTGTTAATATATAAATATTCAATTGATTTTCGAATGTTGAATGACATTAACGTTAATTCTAAATGTTTAGATTCTTTTTTATTTTGTGCATATGTAATCACGTATCTGCTAATATTAGTTTTGTTTTTTTTCTCTCTGAGGTTAATATATTTATTTCTGAAATTTGTACATTTTATTTATTTTAATTGCAATAATTCCTAGAGTAAGAATACTAATATAATGTTGGTAATCTTACTATATCAACAATAGAATTGTTGAGATGGACAACTTTATCTTGTTTTTGCACTAGTATGGAAAGGCAGAGATGATATAATATTTTTATTGAATTTTCTTGCCATTAAGAAAAATATGATTAACAAATGTTGAATTTTGTCAAGTAATATTTTCTGTACCTATTAAGATGAACCAAGTTCTTCCTTGTATTTTAACATAATAATGCATTTAAGCACATTGGTACATTTGATATTAACCCACTAATGTGTGATAATAAGGTAAATCATGATTTAATTTCAGATGTTGAAACCTTATGTTTCTAAACCAAGCTGCACTTCTCTATTATATATTCTTTCTTCTGTATATTGTTACTTTTGTTTTGCAAGAATCTTCTGTTTATGATAGTTTACAACATTGTTTCTATCTGTGTTCGTGAAAGATATTAACCTTTAATTTTTCTGTACTTTAATATCCTTGTCTGATTTTGCTATCATTTTTTTTGTTGTTTCATAAAATTAATCAGAAAGTTTTCCCTCTTTTCTATTACCTGACACTTATATAATAAGATCAGTATTATTTTTGAAAACTATTTACATAGTCTCTAGTGAACATATTTGGACCTAGAGTTTTCTTTATGAAATTTAAAAACTGATATGTAACTATTTATATTTTTAATTTATTTTTGACTGGGTGTGTATTTTTTAAAAAATTTGTCCATTTCATGTAATTGGAAAACATGTTGTAATAAAAGTAGAAACAATCCAAATATTGCTCAACTGGTGAATTGATAAACTGAAGTATATTCATAGAGTGGAAATGACTCTGAAATTTAAAAAGGCTAAATCATTGATATTTACAACATGGGAGAATGTCAACTGCTCAAAGGCAAGGGAAAGAAGCCATCCTTCAAGGCTACATATGGTATGATTTTATTTATATGACATTCTGGAAAAGATAAAAGTGTAAGGAAAGTGTTTTGAGTGACTGAGATTGGGAGGAGGGGACATGCAAGAATTTTGGAGACTGTTGGAATTGTTCTTTGTATTGGTTTTGGTCATGATTACACAACTATATATTTTTTTTAACCTTCAAATATTATATACTGTAAAAGTATATTTTCTGTATGTAAACTATATTTTTAATATATAAAAGTACAGTGAAATAAAAACCCGATGCTTTGAAGTTATGCTTAACATCTTGTCAACTGTAGTATCTGCCATGATATTTCCTTTTCTCCATCTTTTATCAGTCTTTGTGACACCTCTCTTCTTATTATAATTTGGATTAAGTAATACATGTGACACTTGAACATTATGAGGCCAAAGATGATTATAAAAACTGTGAAATTGCCTGACTTTATTTGCTTGCTTTGGAAACCTTAAGAAAAGGAAATGACAGGTTTAGGTCAGCCAACTCTCAAGCCATAACATGCTCTAAAACCAGAGGAGTTCTTAGTAGCGTTTAAGGAGGCATAAAACTCTTATAGCCTCAGGCCTGACTGTGGTGAAAATCAGGCCAGGAATCAAATGTAAGGATAGGAAAGCTAACAGGAGATTGAATGCTAAGCCATGATATATATCATAGGTCAAAATAGTGTCATGATTGGTATGAGTACATACCCTTATTCTGGTATGTGAAAATTTGGACAGCAGACTCTGAGAATTTTGAATGCACAGGTTTTCTTGAAACTTCTGTGTAAGTAGCTACTTTATTTCTTTGTGAACAAGAGCAGGTTCCCATTATCTGAAAACCTTTCAAAGATCACATTTGAAGCAGTTGCTTTACCAAATGACACTTGTCCTCTTCCTTTCTCCAATTTACTAAAGAGAATAATTCACATTGTTCTTAGACCAACTGTTCTGTGCGGGAGATGCATGAGGGGAGAAGAAAAGGCACACACAATAATTTTAAGGGTAAACAGCCTTTATCCCAAGTATATGGCAATACAGGTATAATAAGCAAATGATATAATAAGCAAATTGATATGGGAAGGGGAGAAGGGAAAAGATATGTATATATTTACATTCACCATACTGTGGAGGAAGCATCTCCAGACCGAGAAGCAACAGCTTGGGCTCCAGAGTCAGACACTACACTCACCAGACTATGAACGATTCATCACCAGACCGGGAAGCATCAGCCTGGGCTCCAGAGTCAGACACTACACTCACCAGACTATGGACGATTCACTACCAGACCGGGAAGCAACACCCTGGGCTCCAGAGTCGGCCACTCGTCCGTGCACAGACAGGAGAGATCTCATGAAGCTTCGGCACAGTCTGGGACCCTAGTTCTTTTTGTAACGAGTTGTTTGGCATGAGGCCCAGTCACAAGGGTCCTTCCCGACTGGGCTCAAGGAACACTAAAAGGTCAACTTGTTTTTGTGATTGTCTGTTGTTTTTCAATAACTAAAATATAGGAATAGATTGAAATAGAGATTTCTCAGAAACAGTGCTGGATGAATGCCTCAAGGGGCTCATACAGCCTGTTCCAGAACTTGGTGACCATTGTTTGTGTCCACGTTTAATTGAGTCCAAATTTAATATTTAACTTTTCCTCCACACCATCCTCCATGGAGAGAGTCTGTATCAAGTAAGAAGTAACTTAAACTCCAGAGGAAGTCTAGGGCATTGCTATCATGTATTGAGATGAAATTTATGAAAATATAGAGAATTTTCAAAAGATATTTTTTAGATGTGGCAGAATGTAAAGTTGGATGGCAAAAAAAAAAAAATGCAAAACTCACTTATACTCTCCCATCATACAGGATTTAATTTTTTAGCCAGGATATTGGAGCTGTGCTAACATGTTGCCGGAATGACTTACTGAAGCTTGGGTATGATAATGACCTAGATGGACTTGACAAAAATGCCTTGCTATAGTATTAGAAAGAGTTGAGAAACTATGGGGGTTGATACATTAGAACCAACTTTTATGTGAGACCAGAGTCATCAACTCACTGACATTAACAACAGACAGTCACAAAAACAAGTTACTCAGGAGGGCTCAGAGGACCTGCCTTTAAAAAGCCTATTTGTCTTAGCTTAGGGTCACCTCAAAAGCAGCAGCCATGGTTAGTTCATTCATGAGACTTTTGCAGCAGCACTTAAATGGTTAAAGAGGGAGGCTGGCTAACATTTAAGCTAGCCAGGCATCCTATTCACTTGGCTGTCATGTGCCTCTTTTTTAGTGGATAATCTCTGGTCGGCAGAAAGATTGCATATTTAGAACTCAGAAACACAGTCTACATGCATCACCATTCTCAACATTTTCTTTTCTCTTTTCATTTGTTTTTCCTCCTAGTACTCGATCAACCAGGCAACCTATTTACTATTTACCATCTGGGACTCCATCTTCACCTGTACCTTGGGTTGCTTCTCCCTGAATTCAAAGAGGACGTCTATACCCTTACCACTCTCAAATGTGTTCATATCCTTTTATCATCATATTATAGGCCTAGTCCCTGACTAGGTCTACTGCTGCCATCAATGTATTGTATCAGTCCATTGATGAGCCAGACCCAATTAGTTCCTTCTTTGGTGATTGTCCTAGGAGAGCCATCATGTGTCCATAAGTGCAAGCTGAGGAAGAGGCACCAATTCAACAGCTAGATGCTATGGGATCTAAGCCACCTATTTATATAATTTACATTTATTTATTTATTTGAGACAGAGTCTCGCTCTGTCGCCCAGGCTGGAGTGCGGTGGCGCGATCTAGGCTCACTGCAGGCTCCGCCTCCCGGGTTCACGCCATTCTCCTGCCTCAGCCTCCCGAGTAGCTGGAACTACAGGTGCCTGCCACCACTCCCGGCTATTTTTTTGTGTTTTTTAGTAGAGACGGGGTTTCACTGTGTTAGCCAGAATGGTCTCGATCTCCTAACCTCTTGATCCACCCGCCTCAGCCTCCCAGAGTGCTGGGATTACAGGTGTGAGCCACCGCGCCCGGCCTGTATAATTTATTTTTAACTTCTGGATTTGTTTGGGCCTAATTCTGGACCTGCATCTTCAACACACAATAGATAATAGCTGTTCCCATTCAACCGAATGACTCAGTGAACCTGTGACATCTCAGCTCATTATGGAAAACACCACTTGTTACTTAATGCGCGGTAACTAGAAACTGCTGCTTTCAAGAGTGATTGATAGGCCGGGCGCGGTGGCTCACGCCTGTAATCCCAGCACTTTGGGAGGCCGAGGCGGGCGGATCACGAGGTCAGGAGATCGAGACCATCCGGGCTAAGACGGTGAAACCCCGTCTCTACTAAAAATACAAAAAAAATTAGCTGGGCGTAGTGGCGGGCGCCTGTAGTCCCAGCTACTTGGGAGGCTGAGGCAGGAGAATGGCGTGAACCCGGGAGGCGGAGCTTGCAGTGAACCGAGATCCCGCCACTGCACTCCAGCCTGGGCGACAGAGCGAGACTCCGTCTCAAAAAAAAAAAAAAAAAAAAAGAGTGATTGATTCTGCCATGGAGAGCATTATGTTGCCTCAGAGTCCTAGAGCTCTTTCTAGCAGTTTTTTGTTTTGTTTTGTTTTGTTTTTTTAATGAGGATGCTAAGTGGCCTGAGACACCACTTAGCATCCCCATTCTCTTTAGATCTTCTGCCTCATATGGCCCAAGTTGCAGAGCAGATTTCACAGCAACCTGAACCTCCTCCAGTAGCCTTTCTCCTTTGAGATCTACTAAAACACATCTAAAGCCAAGGTCTGTCTCTTATTAATTGTGAGACACTGAAAAAATTACCATGTTTCATCAAGGCTCTGATTTCTGAATCATAAACATGATGAAGAAGAACGTCCTATCTTCTAAACTTATTGGGAAGAAAACTTAGGCACAATATTCTAAAATGACATTTTACTGCTAACATAATCTATAACAGTTTAAATTAAGCTATGAAATAAATTAAGACTCGTCTCATTGGAGTCTAATTACTAAATCCAATTGATATTTTTCAGGACATACATACTTATTTTAGTTCACCTTTCAATAATTTCTTACTTCTTACCATGGATCCTTCTTCATTTTTTAAGACTCTTTCATTTAAAGTGACCTAAAGCATCTTTGTTCTCTGGTTTTCCTTCTTCTCAGGAAAGTTATTTATAAGATAGTGGTAAGACTGTAATTTTTGGTCTTATTATTTTTTGGTAGCCCTTCTTTCTCACACACATAGAAAAGATATCTTCTGTCTGTGGCCATTTTCAAGTCTCAATCTACGTTCTTTAACTTTGGATGATTTAATATATTCCCAACATCTTACTTTTTACCTATATGTTGATGACCTCCAAATTTATGTCTCTATTCCAAATGTCTCTTCCCACACATGTCATTCAAGGTCTTGCAACATTTTCTTACATACTTCTCACAGTTTTACACACGATTAGCAAAATTATTTCCACTATGTTTCACCTATATCAGATTATATAGAAACATGCATTATTTTTATCTTTCTAATTTAAATAATCTTTCTTATCTGTGGTATCAAAAATTAAAACTCAGCCCTTCTGAGGACTCTCCCTCTCCAGGGCCTGATAAAGTTCAGAGGAAGTAAATTTTCCAGAACCCTGTGGCTCAGTCCTGTAATCTCAGCTTACGCTGTGCCCTGCAGGAACATTTATTGTCTGAAGCCTGAGGTTTGTACGCAGGTGGCTGCTTTGGCTGTTTCCGTGTTATATCTGGATACAAGGAGCTTTGCAGAATTTGGCAGTACCCGGTCGAGCCAGCCTTCCTGGACCAAAACCGGCCACCATCCCCCTCCAAGATCCTGGATGTTTTACATCCACACATTCAAAATCACAATCTACTTCCTATTTTGGCTCTTGAGGGCTCTCTTTTCACCCTCATTGGCAGTTTCTGCCTCTTTCTGCCAATCACCTCTTTCACAGCTTCCAGCCCTGCAAAATTCAGCGTAGTCTTCCCATCCCCCTTTAATTATTTGGAGTGGGAGTAGTTGAATAAGAATTTAAATGTTATCTTTTTTATTTTCCTTATAACACATCTTATTTCATCGGTATATAATGCTACTATTAACTTAATCAGCCAAATGTGAGACCTTAAGAATCATTTGATGTTTTTCCTTCTCAGTTCATCATCGATTCTTAATGTTTCTACTCTAAATGTCTCTCAAATCCGTCCTCTGCTCACTGTCTTTACTGCCATGAACTTAGCAAAAGACCCCATTACTATGCCCTTACTCATCTCCCTGCCTCCAGCCTCAATTCCCTTTAATCAATGTTCTAAGCTCCTGATGGAGCAATATTTCTAAAATACAAATCTCATCTTGCTACCACCTACACCACACCCACCTGCTTTAAACCACTTATTGGATTTTTTTTTAATTCCCTTTGCCTAGAATTTAACTAATTACCTGATTAATGATAGTTGCTATGTACTGAAGAGTCCCTCAGTGCTGAGCATGAGTACAAGCTGTGTATTCCTGATCTCTTTTGGTCTACTATATCCTCGTGATATATATTACCCCATTCTAAGATGATGAAACTGAGAATTGGAAAGCTTGATTAATTAGCCCAAGTAATCTACCTTGCTACTGATGGAGACAAGACTCCTATCCAGATCTCTCATAATCACTTATCATTCACATATAAATCTTCCCTATTGATCCACTTCTTTGCCAGTTCCTGTCATACCAGGTGTGTTCTAGTCAAACCAAAGTACTATTTTTTATCCATTTGTTTGCTTCCCCAAGAGCCTGTCATAATTTTATCCCTTTAAATGTGTACTTCACTCTGTTTGTAATGCTGATCATGGGTTCCTTTCTCAGCCCAGTCCAAATTGAACTTAGGGCAACAAAGTGTCATCAATGCTAGGAAAATGACACAGACAAGCAATGCTCATGTTAAGCGCGCCTCTTATGCACTAGAAAGTCCTATGCACACCACCATCATTTACTCCCTGCTGTTGCCATTTTTTTTTCTCTTGAGTATTTTCACAGTAGGAAGGGATCTTCTTGAGAGTGAGACCTGTCTTTTTCACTTTTATATAACACCAGAAAGATGACAATTGGTGATAGGCATATGGACACAAATGAAGACAAGTTTACTAAGTAAATGAAAACATGAGTAAATTAATGCATTTTGATGTTGTTCAGACTATACTGAGCTCTTATTCTTTAGTTACCGTGCAGACTAGTGATGACATCCTTCATGAGCCCAGTGATGTGTTTGGATCATGATGTTCTTTTTTTCTGAATGTCTTACTGCCTCTGTTAAGGTTTCTGTATAGGTTGCAAAACTCCAGAGCTGTAATTTGCTTCTGTTATTTTCCTTTTTGAGTCCCAATGTTCTCAGTTTGTTCACTTCAAATTTTCCCTATTTTATTGGCATCATTAATGACCTAGTATTTTAGTATTATTTTTTCACTCTATTAATGAATCAGTCATCATCTTTTGACAAGCTGGATGAACTTGTTTTTTTGAAATTTTGAAATTAAGACAATATTAATTTTCTTGTCAACATACCTGTCTGTGGTCAGCAGAATTCTAGGATGGCCCCTAAAATTCCTGCCACCTGATGGACACTCTGTGTGTTCCCTTCTGCATCAGTCTGGGTAGAACCTCTAAATATAAAAGGATAGTAACTCTTGGATTATGTGACATTATATAAGTCTCCATCCATTATAGCAGACTAGAGGGAGACTCTCCTGCTGGCTTTGGAGAACCAAGTTCCCATGCTGTGGCAGGGCATGTGGATAGAATCTGAAAGCAGCCTTTAGGGGCTGAGAACAAACTCTGTCCGACAACTACCAAAAAAAAAAAGGGGGGGGGGGGCGCGGGAGGTGGGGACCTTGGTTCTACAACCAAAAGGAACTGAATTCTATCAAAAAACATGCCAACTTGAAAAGTGGACTCTTTGAACTTCAGATGAGATAGTAGTCCCTGCCAACGTTGAATTCAACCAGAGAAACCCTGAGCAGAAGTCCCTGCTTACCTGTGCAGCACTCCAGAACCATGGAAACTGTCATGTAATAAAAATGTTTCTTCTAAGCTGCTATGGGGTGGTCCTCCATTATGCCACAATAGGAAATGAATGCACTAGTCCTCATTTCTGTCAATAACCCTGTGGATATTGCTGGTATCTCACTTTCATGTGTCTTAGTTAATAGCGGGACATATTGTATTATCATTGTATTGGTCTCTTCCTTTTTCTAATGGAGACTAACCTCAGTGCTGCCTTTATACTGTTTTTTACAGATCTCCATCAAATCTGAGGGGTTTTGCTTAACAATGCTTTACTCTGCTCCACTGGTTAGATACAATACTGTCTGCTTCTAACAAATTGCCACCATTTATCAGCAATTAACGCCGGCCTAAAATGGAAGGGAAAGAAACCTCCAAGGATCAGAGAGGAGAATTTCACTTTCTGACCTTCCAATCTGTGCTTAAAAGGCAAGCATTGAATTTGTGTGTTGCTAGAGTGTTATTAAATGTAATCCTTAATTTGAGTAATACAAATGTATATTTGCATAGTAATTTGAACATTAATCTTCACAATACAATGAGAAGTCATGAGATATATTATCTTCATTATATCATGTATTTGATTTCGCCAAGGTTAAATAACCAAGGTTATTTAAAGCTGATCGTGAAGTTAATTTCTTTTGCTATATCATTCCTACACATGCTGCATGCCTGCCCTGCTTCCTAAGAAAATATAATCACTTATTTATTTTTTTATTTCAAACATCATAGTATTCATAAACTCTTATTGCACCCTCTGTCTTTCTTAAAATGCTGCTTCTTTTTCCAAATATTTTTAGAAAAATTTTCAAATATGTAGCATAGTTGAAATAATTTTACAGTGTCCATTAATATATCTGTCAAGTGTCTACCATTGACATGGTACTGCATGTTACTAATATAATCTATGCAACATTATATCCATCTATTATTCTATTTATGATGTCTAAAAATTAAAATTTAGAAGTCAGTTCAGCTTTCCATAAATAGTATGCACATCATTAATTAGAATTCACCATTTTAATTTTCTTTCTTTTGAGGTTTTACTTACAATAGAAAGTACAGCTCTTAAGTGTACAGTGTCTTAGTTTTGACAAAGGTATGTACCTTTTTAAGACACCCAGAACAAACGGATATATTGTTCCAGATTATAAATATGAAGATCTTTTGTGTAACACCTACAACAATATTTCTCTAGCCTTAAAGTACGTGCCAAACTCAAAACTTGCTTAAACTGTCAGTTTTCCTTGTTAACTTGAACCTGCAGCATATACTTTTCCAGCCTTGCTTACCCTGAGGCCATTTGCTTTAGAAAACTACTTTGCCTGGCACATCACATTCTTTTTTCCTTGTTCCTTTTACTCCTGATCAACCTGCTTCCCTGAGACATATAAAACCTTTGCTTATGGCCAGAAGGCAGGGGAGTCTTACTTTCACAATGACCCTCCTGCTAACCATGAATAAAGACCTTCTTTTTGCAGATCCAGTCCGTGGTGCTTTATTTCAGGGCATTTTGACAAGTGAACATAAAGCTCTTTGCTTTAGATCACAAACTGGTACTAAATTATTACATAATTAATGGGAATGCTATTTCCAATTAACCAATATATAGATGGTAAATTGGTCAGCAGATGTGTCTTATTTTGGTATGTATGTTTCTGTATTTGTCGTTATTGTTGTTGTTGTATTTGTTTTTTTTCCCCATTTGTTTATACTATCTCTTTTATTTAATTAGAGAAAAAACACTTCTAAGCAGGAAAGAACACAGGAAGAGCATGGCACTAATCCTAATATGACAGAAATGTGGTAAAAATTGGACTTTAGACACATGTCCTCTTCTATCAGAAGTGAAAATAATACCCAAATAGGCATTTGAGGGTGAAAAGAAACTGCAAATGAGTAGTAAAAAATGTGAATGAGTGCATGTGAATCCCAGTGCTTTTAAGTGCCTGGATCAGTCAAGATTTAGTTCATAAAAGCCTAGTTTTGTTTGTTTGTCTGTTTGTTTGTTTTTGTTTTTTGTTGTTGTTTTGTTTTGTTTTTTCAAGACTGAGTCTCGCTCTGTCGCCCAGGCTGGAGGGCAGTGGGGCGATCTCAGCTCACTGCAAGCTCCGCCTCCCGGGGTTCACGCCATTCTCCTGCGTCAGCCTTCCTGTTAGCTGGGATTACAGGCACCTGCCACCACGCCCGGCTAATTTTTTTTTTGTATTTTAGTAGAGACGGGGTTTCACCATATTAGGCAGGATGGTTTCCATCTCCTGACCTTGTGATCCACACGCCTCAGCCTCCCGAAGTGCTGGGATTGCACCCGGCCAAGTGTAGTTATTTTAACCAAGAGCTTGTTGCCTATAAAATCTGTGAAAATTTTGAAAGTCCAGATTCTAGGCTGAATGGCTGAATCTCAAAGAATCTTTCTCAGAACTTATACAACTTGCTCTAGGCTACTCTTCATATGTTGAAAGCAAGAAATCATCAGTTGCCTAAAATGCTGTGTCAGGGCTGAGAACAAGACACTTCTCAATATGGCAATTTGGTCACTGAGAAAACTGCAGAGGCAAGAAGGTTACTCTGAACATCTCCCACCTTTCTCCCCTGATGAATGGTCATAAGTAAATTCTTTGGCCTTCCTTACCTGATAGTAGGTCATAAGAACCTCACTGCATGGGCGTTCTACCCTAGATCCAGAGGCCAAGAAGAATCTGAACATATAAGCCTTGCTAAGTTCCTCCAAGTTTATTACCAGTAGGTCATACCCCATTTTTGTCCAATCATACTTCTACAGAACTGTCCAGCTTTATTGAACCTAATCATAAAAATAGAGTTTGCCCTGGATCTTTGGGTCTTCACTTCTGAAGGCTCCCATGTCACATTAAACTTTGGTTAAATAAATTCGTTATGCTTTCCTCATGTTAATCTATGTTCTGTTATAGGTGTGTAAGCCATTAGCCTTGACACGGTTGAGGAAAATAAATTCCCTTTTCTCCCCTATAGCTGTCAAAGCAATGACTTCTTGACATCTTGGAATCTGGAGAATGTATAGCATAGCTCCAATGCAGGGATTAAAAGAATGAAGAAGTTGTCGCTACAACTACTTCTGCCCTTGGTACTGCTTCTGCACACCCATAAATGTAGAAAACTCTCTCTCTCTTTATTTTTTTTATTTTTTGCCAAACTTGCTTTCCAAAAAAACAGTGGATGACAGATAACTCCTGTGAAGGCTAATTGGAGAAAACAGATTCTATTTAGAACTGAAAATGGAAGTACAAACTAGTATGGGAAATAAACCTCTAAGACCACAAATGTCTTCAACTAGAAAAAAGCAGGAATGGGTTGAGTGAGCACATTGCCATAAATATTTTAATCTATGTATGACTAATTTTCACTTTATCATGTTGCATGTTCTTAAAGCTAATTATGTAGTTGGTGGTTTATGGTACATTTAACAATGTATGCAGGAATATTCAATTTTTAACTAAGAAAAAAGGTGTCCTTCACAAATATTTTCTGAACAGCTCATGTTCACATAATTTAAAATAAATTTGAAATTAAATTGAAGCAGTGGATGGCAAGGCAATGGAGATGAAATAAAAATGACTGCTCCTTTTGAAGTTAAAAAGTATATAAATTAAAATACGATTCCAATGATCTGGTTTAACAAGACCTTAACTAGTGCCTAGAAGCAAAAACGGTTTCCACTAATTTAATTAGAAAAAAATACAAGAAATAATTGAACAAAAATGACCACTTATTTCCCAAAGAGTTTCAGTTATAGCCTTTGAAATCAGATCATAAGTGGCACTCCAAGTTTCTCCTTTCTTTAGAGAGCTAGTTGATGCCAAGTGGCAAAAACTGAGAACAAAGGGGTTAACCCAATTTCAAGTTTGTCTTTGATGCACTTCCAAATCTCCTCTTGTGGGAAATGAAAGTGAATTGCTTTAAGTAGTTACAGAGTGGAAATAGATCAGAACAGTCTATCTCTGGCCTTGGTAAGAAGATGGTTTAGCTTATTTCTTCTTTGGAACAATATGTCTTGGTTGATTGTCTGTGTCTGTTTGAAACAAAAAGACCTACAGATACCTGAAGCAAATGCATCATCATTCAACAAGTACAGTCATCTCCACGGAAAACTACTAATGGGAGATTTTATGTTAATCACAATGTCAACAGGGTTTATGTTTACTGGAAAATGTTTCTGTAAATTACTACTCCCTGTTTCATGTGCTTCTATATTGAATACTAACAGGCTAGAAAAAGATACAAAATTGGGCTCAAGTTAATATGCAAGTTTACAGTGGGAAAATACTAAATAATGTTTCTAAATAGAAAGAAAACCTCTGTTTTGTTTTTGATAATGAGAGATCTTTCATTTCTTATGAATTGCCTCCCTATTGAATAAGGTTTAAAGTGCACACAGTACCCATATGGTCCCCAGAGATCATTTATCATAACTCCTTTCAAATATAACCTCTCTTTCACCTACAAAGAAACTTAGACAACAAAGGCCACTCCTTAAGTTCAGCAGAGCATATTTGGATACAATCTACTATGGTGGAGGTTATGGCACCCTCCTGCCCTATAACTAATTCATTATCATAATGTCAGATTTTCACATACACCCACATAGAAAGTACCTGGAAAGACATGCAACAATTGGAGCAATAATGGTAACATCAGCATTGACTTATTTAAAAAGTTCAATTAAAAATTATTAAGAGCAGAAGAGCAGAATACCTCTTCCTTCTTCCTATATACTTTCAAAAAGAATAGTAGAACAAAAAATCTGCAGCTAAAATCTACAACTTACCTAGGGAAAAAGGTGTCCTTAGGAACCTTAAAACATGAGAAAATGGTGAAAAATCATTGGCTGCTACAATATCCAATGGCAGCAGCGTTTGTTTAGGAGGAAACAGAGCTAACTAAGGCAGCTGGACATCTGTTGGCTTGAAAAGAAAATATTAATTTCTATGCATGAATATACTTAAAATGTTTAATTTAAAAGTTTTTAATTATAATTTTAAAATGTATAGCCATAGAGAATGTTACTGAACCACCTTGTTATTTTGAAAAATTGTAAATAAATATCAAAAAAGTAGCACCTATCCTGCTTTCTTGTATGAATTGAACTTTTTGGAACCACATATTGGAAATGAGACCTTTCAATTTATATAAGTTGTTCAACTTAAAAAAATACGATAAATTATACTATCATTATTTTGCAACCACACATGAAGAAATTGATCTATAATTATTACTATTTAAAAACGTTGCAGAGAAACAACATAGTAGTGTTTGCTTCCTGAAAGGAATACACAACTTATACAATAGTATTGATCTCTATTTTCTCCTAAAATGTATACTTTGTTTTGAGCATGACTCTATAATATTTGTCAGAACATACAAGAAACAGTAAGAATATTGCATGACATTATAGGGGTGCTATCAGAAATGTCAAGATAATATGACTCTCTGTAGGATGAATGACCACCTAGAAGTAATGGCATAAATTTTAACATGTGAAAGAATTTAGACTACAGATACAAGAAGCTAAGAGTAACCTTGGCAGGTTAAAAATGGAGAAAATCTAATCCATGCATACCATAAGAATACAGTCAAACTCAATGACAAATTTCAACAGCAATCAGAGAGGTTAAAAACACTTCACAAACAGAGGAAAATGATGATAGGGATGACGGCTGACTTCTCATCTTCAATGCTAGAAGACAAAGAGATGGTATCTTTAAAGTTCATGAGAAAGGGATAAAGTTAACTTTGAATACTCTATCAAGTGAAATAATATTCTAGAAATAAGGATGAAATAATGACATTCTCATATAAGAAAAGCTAAATGAATTAATTTTTACCTGTGCTACTAGAAATGCTAAATAAAGCTCTTCCAGCTTAAGGGAACAATTAAGTGATAGAACTCTATCCATAGAAAGAAATGCAAAGCAATAGAAATAATAAAGATGTGGATAAATATAGACTAATTTTTTTCCTTCAATTCATTAAAAGCAAATAAACTAACTCTTCAAAGAAAAAAATTAGAATGTGGTGCACTGTATATTTAGAAGTAAAATATGTTACAATAATAATACAAAATATGATAAGGAATGCAATGGGATGATACTGCAATTAAATTCTTAGAGTTTACCTGAAATGGTACAACATAACTTTTAGTAGACTGATAAATTAATTAGACATACTTTAAGCCTCTGGAAAGACCACTAGAAAAATATACAAAAAATTTCTTGTAAAAAGCAAATTGCAGAAGTAACAGAATATTCAAACAATTATTTTTAAAAGACATAAAAGAAAAAATAAGCAGATAGAAACAAAAAACAAGTGGAAATAATTTTATTAAATATAAAGAACTAAATACTGCAATTTAAAGTTATTCCATGTCAGACTTGCCTATTTTATGCAGAGATAAGCTGAATGGAAAAAGATGAAAAAGGATAAACCATACCAAGTAGAAGCTCAAAAAAATAGTGGATATATTAATATTGTAAAAAAATAGACTTTAAAAGGAGTGTTACCACAGATTAAGAGAGAACATCATGTAATAAAAGAGTGATTTCTTTAGAAAAACCTGGCAATATAAATTAGTGCATATCTAATAATAGAGTAGGAAAATATACAAAGTGACAAAAATAAAAACAGAGAAGGTCACAAACATAGTTAGAGGTTTTTATCACTGCTTCCTCACTAATTAATAAGTACACAAAAAAATCAGGTTTGGGGCCGGGCATGGTGGGTCACGCCTGTAATCCCAGCACTTTGGAAGGCCAAGGCGGGCATATCACTTGAGGTCAGGATTTCAAGACCAGCCTGGCCAACATGGTGAAACCTCGCCTCTACTAAAAATACAAAAATTAGCTGGGTGTGGTGGTGCATGCCTGTAATACCAGCTACTCGGGAGGCTGAGGCACAAGAATCACTTGAACTCAGGAGGAAGAGGTTGCAGTGAGCTAAGATCATGCCATTGCACTCCAGCCTGGGCAACAAAGCAAGACTCTGTATCAAAAATAATCATAATAATAAGAAGAAGATTTATGTCTTTGGAACAAGATTGTCAGCATGAACTAATTTACATTTATAAGATACTGTTCCCACCAACTGCAGAATATACATTTTTTTCTAATGCACATAGAACATTCAGTAAGCTCTACTATATTTGGGCCATAAAACCAGACTCAAATTTCAGAATAATAAAATCTTATACAATATTGTTCTCTGTCCATAATGATATAAAATTAAACTGAGTACAGTGGCTCACGCCTGTAATCCCAGCACTTTGGGAGGCCGAGATGGGTGGATCTCCTGAGGTCAGGAGTTCCAGACGAGCCTGACAAATATAGTGAAACCCCGTCTCTACTAAAAATACAAAAATTAGCTGGGCGTGGTGACAGATGCCTGTAATACCAGCTACTTAGGAGGCTGAGGCAGGAGGATCCCTTGAGCCCAGGAGTTGGAGGTTTCAGTGAGCTGAAATCATGCCACTGCACTTCAGCCTGGGCGACAGAGTGAGACTCCATCTCAAAAAAATAAAAATAAAATAAAATAAAAAATCAAGTTAAATTAAATTAAAAATCAATAAAAATAAACCTTAAAAGCATCAAATATTTATAAATGATACAAGAACCTATTGAAATAACCCATTTGTCCAAGAAGAAACACAATGAAACTTTAAAAATATTTTAAAATAAATGATAATGAAAACTGCACTTGTCAAAATTTGTGACACGCACTTAAAGGAGTACTTAGAAGGAAATTCATAATTTACATGTTTATATCAGAAAAGAAGAACAGTTTATGACTAGCCATATGTAGAAATCTGAAACTGGATCTCTTCATTACACCTTATACAAAAATTAATTCAAGATGGATTAAAGACTTAAACGTTAGACCTAAAACCGTAAAAACCCTAGAAGAAATCCTAGGCAATACCATTCAGGACATAGGCATGGGTAAAGACTTCATGTCTGAAACACCAAAAGCAATGGCAACAAAAGCCAAAATTGACAAATGGGATCTAATTAAACTAAAGAGCTTCTGCACAGCAAAAGAAACTACCATCACAGTGAAAAAGCAACGTACAAAATGGGAGAAAATTTTTGCCATCTACTCATCTGACAAAGGGCTAACATCCAGAATCTACAAAGAACTCAAACAAATTTACAAGAAAAAGACAAACTACCCCATCAACAAGTGGGCGAAGGATATGAACAGACACTTCCCAAAAGAAGACATTTATGCAGCCAACAGACACATGAAAACATGCTCATCACTGGCCATCAGAGAAATGCAAAGCAAAGCCACACTGAGATACCATCTCACACCAGTTAGAATGGCAATCATTAAAAAGTCAGGAAACTACAGGTGCTGGAGAGGATGTGGAGAAATAGGAACACTTTTACTCTGTTGGTGGGACTGTAAACTAGTTCAACCATTGTGGAAGTCAGTGTGGCAATTCCTCAGGGATCTAGAACTAGAAATACCATTAGACCCAGCCATCCCATTACTGGGTATATACCCAAAGGATTATAAATCATGCTGCTATAAAGACACATGCACAGGTGTGTTTATTGCAGCACTATTCACAATAGCAAAGACTTGGAACCAACCCAAATGTCCAACAATGACAGACTGGATTAAGAAAATGTGGCACATATACACCATGGAATACTATGCAGCCATAAGAAACGATGAGTTCATGTCCTTTATAGGGACATGGATGAAGCTGGAAACCATCATTCTCAGCAAACTATCGCAAGGACAAAAAACCAAACACTGCATGTTCTCACTCATAGGTGGGAACTGAACAATGAGAACACTTGGACACAGGAAGGGGAACATCACACACTGGGGCCTGTTGTGGGGGTGGGGAGGGGGGAGGGATAGCATTAGGAGATATACCTAATGTAAATGACGAGTTAATGGGTGCAGCACACCAACATGGCACATGTATACATACGTAACAAACCTGCACATTGTGCACATATACCCTAAAACTTAAAGTATAATAAAAAAATAAAAAATAAGAAAAGAGCAATTTAAAATTAAGGAGCTTATGTCCATATTAAGAAGCCAAAGAATTATATGACCATCTATGTACCCAAAGAAAATTCATATGAAAAAAACTCTACTCCTGTTCATAATAGAAATACTCATACAAAAATAATTGAAGAAAAATGTCTCAGCCTAAGTATGGGCACCTGTAAAAACTTATAGCTAACATCATACTTACTGATGAAGCATTTCTTCTGAGATAGAACAAAAGGCATATTTTGTCTCAGCTCTTCCATTCAACATTATATCCATGGTCCTGGTTAGCACCATAAGGCAAGACAAATAAATAAATAAATAAATAACTCTTTATATAAGGACAGGAAAAAGGAAGTGTTCTTACACAGGAGGTATGATAGACTATTAACGAAATCTTAAGGAGAGTACTAAATCTTTTTAATTAAAAATGAATTTAGACAGATTACAGAATAGAAGGTTTTTGAAGAAAAATCAGTTGTATTTATACATACTACTGACAATTGGAAATTGAAATTTTAAAAAGTCAATTTACATTAACATAAAAAAATTAAGAAATATGCTTGTTAAATGTGCAAGACCTCTATATTTAAAAGATGAAAATATTACTGACTGAAATTAAGGAAGCCAGTGAATAACACAATATATTTATACATTGGAAAATGTGATATTTCTAAGACGTCAATTATCTAAAAAAAAAATGTGCTATAGATTCTATGGAAATCCAACCAAAATAACAGCATATGTTTACAGCAATTGACAAATTATTTCTAAAATGTACATAAAAACGTAAAGGACCTCGAAGAGCCAAAGATATCTTGACATGAAAATCAGGGATATACCTGACTTTCTGGCTATTTATCAGTCCACAATAATCATGCAAGTGTGTGATTGATATAAAAGTAAAGAAATCAGTCAGTGGAACAGAATGGAGAATTCAGAAATTAACCTCACAAATACTATCAATTAAACACAGACTTGCTAAGGCCATTCAACTGAGAAATGAAAATCTCAAAACCTGCTGCTGGAAAAAGTGGATGAACATTGGGGAAAAAAAGCACACACACACACACAAAATCATATCAAATAAAAAACCTTGATCCTTACTGCAGAGCACAAGCAAATATTAATTTGGAATCCTAATAGATCTAATAGTAAAAGTAACATTTTAAATTTTCTCAAAGAAAACATAGAATACTTTTGTAATTAGTAGTCAGTGATTTCTTTGAGAAACATAAAACACTAAGCTTTTATGAAAAATATATAAATCGGATATTAACAAAATTTAATTCTTTTTCATTTTATAGCACCATTAAGAAAATAAAAATCAAGCCTCACATTGAGAGGAAATGTTCCCATATCTAATAGGTATAACACTTATGAAGGACTTATATCCTAACTTCTAACCTGTAACATGTAACCATAGATAATATATATTATATATTATATGACATACATAATACATAGAATTGACATAAAGAATATATAATCTCACCCGGTGCGCTGGCTCATGCCTGTAATTCTAGCAATTTGGGAGGCCAAGATGGGCAGATCACGAGGTCAGGAGTTTGACACTAGCCAGGCCAATATGATGAAACCCTGTCTCTACTAAAAATACAGAAATTAGCCAGGCATGGTGGTGCGTGCCTGTAGTCCCAGCTACGGGCGGGCGGGGGAGGGGGGCTGGGGGGGCTGAAGCAGAAGAATCGCTTGAACCCCGGAGACGGATGTTGCAGTGAGCTGAGATCGTGCCACTGCACTCCAGTCTGGGTGACACAGTGAGACTCCATCTCAAAAAAAAAAAAAAAAAAAAAAAAAAAATATATATATATATATATATATATATATATATATATATACACAGCTATATATATAATCTTATATATAAGTTGACATTTTGTTACTGATATATAGAATATTATATAAACTATATGTTTTATCGTATACTAAATTATATTATATATTACATATTATATAATTTATAATATGTTATATGTATATTTACACATACTTATAGATAACCATATATCAATATATAGTTATATTTATATAGCTAATTTATAATTTATACAAAATTATAAATAAAGTAGCCCAGAGTGGTCTACTTTTTGGTGCCGCTCAGCTGTCGTGCAAGTAGAGCACTTGCAGTCAAGACTCCAACTGCCCTTCATTTATATTACATTATACTATAGTATGCTACATTTTACATTAACTGTTTAATATATTGCACTCATATTTACATATTTATCACATATTATGTCATATAAAATAGATATGTAGAATATATGAACTATGTATCAAAAATTAAAAAGCAAAAACCCAATTTGACTTTGGCCATGATGTGAAAGAATTAGAAAATGCATATACGTTGAGGATAACAGAAAAGAATTTTAAAAATCAGCATTGATAGTCTTTTTATAAAGTCCAACTTACACTGACTTCGAGACCACGTAATTCCACACCCAACTACTTACACAAGAGAAATAAAGGTATAGCTCCAGAAAAATAATTTACACATTACTTATGTTTATAGAATCATTATTAATAATAGCAAAACACTGAAAGCAAATCAAATGTCCATCAGCATGAGAATGGATAAAATGGGATATATTGATATACTGCAATATTCATCAATAATAAAAGACTGATACATGGGGCTGGGCACAATGGCTGACACCTGTAATCCCAACACTGGGAGACCTAGGTGACAGGATCCCTTGAGCCCAGGAGCATCAGACCAGCCTAGACAACATACATAGTAAGACTCCATCTTCACAAAAAATACAAAAATTAGCCAGGCATGGTGGCTTGCGCTTGTGGTCCCAGCTACTTGGGAGGCTGAGGTGAGAGGATCGCTTGAGCCCAGGAGTCCATGCCTGCGGTGAGCTAGGATAGAGCCACTGTACTCCAGCATGGGCAACAGAGTGAGACCCCATTTCTAAAATAAAATAAAATAAGACTGATATATAGGAAGACATGGCTGAATTTTATAAACATTTTTTGAAAGGAATATTTCAGTTGCAAAATAGTAAGTCTGATTTCATATACATGAATTTTTAGATTAGACAACCTTAATTTTTGATAGAAAATCTGAACTATGGGGTGATGACAAAAACTGGATGGAGCCATAAGGGAAGTTTGTAGGGTGATGGAAACGTTTCTGTTTTGATTGGGGTATAGGGTACATGATGTATACATTAGTCAAAACTCACAGAATTGTCACCTAATCTGTGCATTTCCTTGTATGTAAATTTTACCTTAATTGAAAAAGTAGATGAAAAGAAGACTAGATACAAATATTAAGAAGACGTAACATCCTATTGCAATATATGGACTTTCTTTGTATTCAGATCCAAAAAAGTAATATGTTAAAAATCACTTGTAAGACCCTTATAATATGAATACTGGAAAAACATTATGAGGTTATCATTCATTTCTTAGTGTGAAAGTGGTATTTTCAGGGCAGTTCTTCACATGGTCTTGGACTGACTTAGTTTTCCCCGCCTTCTTGCTTACAGTTCTCAACAACAAGTGTAGAATGTGCTAGGAATGCAATATGCTTAGGCAGAGAGAAACTGCCTGGGACTTGTCTCTGTCTCCTAGGAAATGTAACATCTTAAGTTAGGGAGAAACTATCTGGAACTAACTGGGGCTTTGTTCCTCTCTCCCTTGGAAGCAGGGTGGCCTTCAAAGCTTTGCCCAGTGAGTCACATGCTCCTGAGTTAGTAGCCCAGGGTGGTCTACTTTTTGGTGTCCCTCAGCTGTCATGCAAGTGGACCATGTCAGTTGAGACTCCATCTGCCTTGGGCAACTTTCTGAACCTTGAGGATCAGCTCACAGTGGATCCAACACTTCTTATTTCCCTTCCTACCCATCTATAATTAATAAACCTGCTTTAAATAACTGTTGCACATGAATGTGTTCCTTCTCATATTGGTAACAGTGCAGCCCAGGCTGCAGCAGGTGGAAGAGTTTGGACTCCAATTCCTGGTGATTCACATGATGATGATCTCTGCAATCTGCCCCACAATGGGGGTCCTCTTTTGGTGAAGCTGCTTCCCAGTATTATGCTGCATTTTTTTGAAGTCCTTATATTTTAGAAACATATACTGACATACTATATGGTGTCTGACATTTGGGAATACTAATTGCATTAGATGAAGATAAACTAAGATTGGCCATGTATGAATAATGAGTGTAATGAGTACATTATACCACACTGTATAGTTTTATTTATGTTTTAGAAGTTATGTAATATTTTTAAAAGCATAATTTATTGACTGTGCGTAGCATTGTGGGTACAAATATTTAGAAGACTCAGTTATTTTCAAGGAACTATAACTTAGATGAAATGCCAAGTGATATTAAAACCAGCTGAAATAATTTCACACAATTACTTTTATATGATAAGAGATTTTGTCAGAAGACCAAAGATCCTGACTGGTTGAAAACCAGCACCAATGGAAAAAACATTCTTGAGTTGGGTCTAAGTGGGACAAGGAGGTTGAAGAGTGAGGGCAAGAATGTCACAAAAAGAGGGGAAGCCAAAAAAAAAAAAAAAAGAAAAAAGAGAAAACACGGGATTCAGACTTCATACTTGGCCTTACCCTGAATTTGCCAATAGAAAATCAGTTCAGGGACAAGCTCCACCTTGCTAATCAATACACACAGCTTGCCTATGACTGTTCAGGATCCATATTGCATACTTTGATTTAATAAAAAGAGAACAGTCAGGTTCTAGAAAAAAAAACCTTAAGAAAGGAGTAAGATTTTTTTTTAAAGGACAGGCATAAGGATCTGAAATAAAATGAAATTAGACAAATTTGAATTGTAAAATGAGACGATTTTTCCAGATGGGAAAAAAGACTTGGGGCACAAAGAAAGGTGATCAGTCATTTGTAGTATCACTACCTGGCAGAATATGCTTTAGCTTAGTAGATAAACCCTAGCTGTGATATAAACTTATGTTCTAAGAAATTTTTTTAATCATTTTATGATGCACAGGGAGGCTATGAATGGTTTAACGATGTCCCAAGATCTTTAACTACTTTATCCATGAAATTGCTCAACCCAGCCCAGTCCAGGCAGGAGCATCTTCCTCCATGAACTTCAAATAGTGTACTATTCTATTTTGCCACAACATGAAAAAAACATTGTGAAATATTGTTCTAATTGAAGGCTTAGGAAGTTCCAAAGGATTCCTGGGCTACTCCATTTTTCCTCCCTGATTGGAAGGATAAGAGGCACCTGTTGAAATGTGGCTGAGGAAAAACCAAGCTCAGGTATTGGGGTTCAGTTGCACTTTACCTTGGCCATGAGGGCCAATTCAAATTTCGTTACTGGTAATTAATGTAAACACTCCTATATCAGCTTGTAGTTTTGAATCTAATGCTTGTATTTGAGTGATTTTTCCCTAGGAAGTATGTAATATATAAAAGAAATATATTGATATTAATTGTGTCTTATGTAATGATATTTCCATATTGTTTTCTCAACTAAGTATGCCAGCCTTTCTGCACATCAGCAAAGCATAGCCAAGCAAACCAACAGCAGAGTTCTGAATTCTTAGTAACTCCTTTTAGTCAGCTATTCTGTACACAAAGGCACTGTAGAAAGGACATTTTAAAAATTGTATGCATTATTACATTCCTTTGTTTAACTTTTCTCTTTTTTGTCTGTCATATCACCTTTAAGTAAAAACAGTGGAGGTCACTATTGGTTGGCTGACTAACCCTATGGACAAATACTTTCTCCAAATTTAGCTTCCAATCATTGGTCTAAAGTTGCCCAAAAAAGTATATTCTGGCCAATAAAATATAAACACCTTTGTGAAGTATGGCTTCCATGAAAGTCTATTATGGGGCAAATAGGCTGTGAAATTACTGTGTCTGTCTTTGTTCTTCTCCTGGATTGCAATGCCCTAAGTGATGTTGAAGGTGAAGCAGGCACCTTGCGACCACAGAAAAGCTCACTCCACTTGAAAAATAACAGAGAAAGGAATTCTAAAGGATGCTCATGTGCCTGATAACACTGGGGCTCTTGTATTAGCCCAGACTATTTCAAACTTCTGGATATGTAGAGGCAGAAAAAAAAAAAAGAGCAACTGTTTAAGACAGTTTATCAGGTTGGCGGTTGTGAATACCCAGTTCTTCTGTCTGAACAGATTTTTAAATGCTTCTGTTACAGGTTCAATTTATAGTCTCTCTAAAAAAAAAAAAAATAATAGTTGGTGAATCTACTGGCTTGTTTTAGGAGGTAAGAGTGATAGTTTTCTTAATAATTAGTGGGGACATTAAGGTGAAAAGGTTTTCATTGCCTGCTTCATCTTCAACATCACTTAGTGCACTCCAGGTCAGAGAAGAACAAAGGACAAAATGTTTTCACAGCCTATGTTTCCCTTTATGGGTTCTTAGAAGCCTCATTCTGTGAAGTCAACTTATATCTCACTGGTTGGAGCAGAGTTATCTGGACACCCTTAAAGCAGTAATTACTATTTTGGACACCGTTAGTGACAGGAAAGAGAAGAGCAGGTAATCACTGGTGAGGCAAACCTTGCTCAATTTCTCCATGAGGTGCTGTGTCTATATGTGCACATGGGGTCAGTATTCGAAATTAAAACAAGTCTCAAATGAAAACAGTTCTAGAGCCACATTTCTTAATTCAGCTTGGTCCCACACAGATAATTTCAAATATTTTTATTTTACAAAATCCTGCTAATAATGAATGTCAGAGTATAATAGGCTAAGAAATTGGGCATATTAAAATAGCAAATTTATTGAAATCTGAAAGCAAACTGAATATTATGAAAGAATAATTCAGTGCCTAAATCAAAGTTTTTGTTAAAAGCAATATACAATTTTTTTCCTACCTCAAAATTACAGGTATTAATATGATATAGTGTCATAGAAGCAAATTTGAAAAATCCTGTGAGGTCATAATAGGCCAGACTCCCAAACATTTTTTCACATTTTTATATTTTCTAATCCTCTGAATATTTATTATATTTACAAAATAATTTAAAAGATAGAGAAAATACATCTTTTTGGGACTGGTGTGGTGGCTCACACCTGTAATCCCAGCACTTTGGGAGGCCAAGGTTGGGTGGATCACCTGAAGTCAGGAATTCAAGACCAGCCTGGCCAAAATGGCAAAATCCTATCTGTACTAAAAATACAAAAATTAGCCAGGCATGGTGGCACATGCCTGTAGTCCCAGCTACTCAGGAGGCTGAGGCAGGAAAATCACTTGAACCCGGGAGGCGAAGGTTGCAGTGAGTCGAGATCGCACTATTGCATTCCAGCCTGAGCAACAAAGCAGAGCACGACTCTGTCTCAAAAAAAAAAAAAAAAAGAAAGAAAAGAAAAATACATCTTTTTGTCTCCCAAATACTGATGTATGTTGTATTCTCGTGGCTCAAGGAATCTTTTGAACTTAATTATCCATACCTTACATTTCTACTCTAGTGAAGGAGTAGGGTACTACCATTGTATCTTAACAAATCTGTAAGCTCACACAGCGTATGTTGACAGGGCCTTAAGGAAAGAGAATTAATAACACATAGTACTCAGAGATTGAAGCAGGAAAACAAAGTTTCTTACCCTGGCAAAGAAGTGCTGTGTTTCAGAGAGCCCTGCAGATGAGCTGTGTAAGCCAAACTCAAAAGGGAGTTAGGGCCGGAAGTGGCGACAAGGTCAAATTTCATCAGCAACAGAATCATGTCTAGGTAAGTCTCTCAATAGATAATTGCTTGAATAAAATCTTAGCTACTCTTCTAGATTTTACTTTTTAATTTTTTTTGAGAGAGTCTCCCTCTGTCGCCCAAGGTGGAATGCAGTGGTGCGATCTCGGGCCACTACAACAACTGCCTCCCAGGTTCAAGTGATTCTCCTGCCTCAGCCTTATGAGTAGCTGGGATTAGAGGCACATGCCACTAGGCCCAGCTAATTTTTATATTTTTAGTGAAGACAATGTTTCACCGTGTTGGCCAGGCTGGTCTTGAACTCCTGACCTCAAGTGATCCACCCACCTCAGCCTCCCAAAGTGCCCGGATTACAGGCGTGAGCCACTGCACCTGGCCCATTTCCTTCTTGGTAAATTGATATTGTAGATCAGCTCATTCTGCCATTACTGCTATTCTCATGCTATGACATAGGCAGGGAGCATATATCCAGACAATTTATAACAGAAGTCAGGATTAAAAACTCAAGAATTTTCTTCCCAGAATTCATTGACTCAGTTACTACTATTCCAGGTAAAATTTAGAGTTAATGTACAGTTTGACTTCTTTTCAGCCCATTCTACTTCAAAGAATAAAAATTAACATTCACAATTTGGACATTAACAATTTGCACATTCCCTATCCATAGAGAATAGGAATAAAGACAAATGGATTAATTTGTTTCCAAAAGCAAGTTGCTTGCAGAAATTCACATTGCTCCTACTATTTATTTATTCTTTCAAAAATTCTCATTGAGATCCAACAAGAGCCAGAAATTATGTTCAGCACAGGTTATGAAATGACAAAGTATCAACTATACCAAGAAACCTATATCAGGGCTGCACATTTTTCTCCTGGGTCCACAAGTATAGTAAAACCTGACAGCACAATGTGGCAAGTGTTAGGACAGAAATATACATTTGGTACTATGAAGGTACTGAGGACAGAGAACTAAATGTTCTGGAGCTGGAAAGGAGAGGCAAGGGTGGTGAGTGGTACCATTAAACCATTTTTGGTGGAACAGATGAAAGCAGCCTTGGTCTTTAGTAAACCAAAATTGTCCTGAGTTTATGGCTTAATAATAATATATTCTCAAGAAAAATTTCTCACAAACCCATGCTGTATACATCTATACAAACACAAAGGAGAGATATATTAAAAGTATACATGAATTAGAAGATATTGGAAGTTAGTTAAAGTAACTTTATTCAGCAGTCAAAACATTATAGAGTTCGTTAATATGAGTATTGAGTAGCACCCAGGTTGTTTCCAAGTTAGATTAAGGATGTTGTCTTCAACTTGTGTTTGTACCTTTCTTCCCGTAGCAATGACATATTATCATCAGTAAGACTACAAAATCTTTTGAAATAGCTGGGTTTAAACAATACCATGTTAAAACACTCACATTGAAATATCATTTCCTATAGTTCCTCTTCCTCTTTACTTCTACTGATACCTACATATGAACCAATCCCTTGTTTTGTTATCTCAGAGTTAAGAGCAACATTAATTTAAGAGAAATCAGGTAAAACAAACAAACAAACAAAGGCCTATCGACAATTTTTTGGTTGACTTGAAAATTTTGTTTGTTGGGTTGGTTGGTTTTTGGAGATGGAGTCTCACTCTGTCTCCCAGGCTGGAGTGCATGCATTGGCGGGATTTCTGCTCACTGCAACCTCCACTTCCCAGGTTCAAGCGATTCTCCTGTCTCAGCCTCCCGAGTAACTGGGATTACAGGCATGCGCCACCATGCTCAGCTAATTTTTGTATTTAAAGTAGAGACAGGGGGTCGTTGGCAAAGCCTGAGTCCTGTCCTCTCGCTCTCCTCCCCAAACAGCATGAGCTTCACCACTCGCTCCACCCTCTCCACCAACTACCGTTCCCTGGGCTCTGTCCAGGTGTCCAGCTATGGTGCCCTGCCAGGCAGCAGCGCGGCCATCGTCTATGCAGCCGCCAGGGGCCCTGGTTCCCGGATCTCCGTGTCCCGCTCTACCAGCTTCCTGGGCGGCATGGGGTCTCGGGGCCTGGCCATGAGGATGGCGGGGGATTTGGCAGGAATGGGAGGCATCTAGAACGAGGAGACCATGCAAAGCATGAATGACCGCCTGGCCTCCTACCTGGACAGTGAGGAGCCTGGAGACTGAGAACCCGAAGCTGAAGAGCAAAATCCTGAAGAGCAAAATCCGGGAGCACCTGGAGAAGAAGGGACCCCAGGACAGGGACTGGAGCCATTACTTCAAGACCATCGAGGAACTGAGCGCTCAGATCTTCGCAAATATTGTGGACAATGCCCACATCGTTCTGCAGATAGACAATGCCCGTCTTACTGCTGATGACCTTAGAGTCAAGTATGAGACAGAGCTGGCCATGCGTCAGTCTGTGGAGAGTGACATCCATGGGCTCTGCAAGGTCATTGATGACACTAATGTCACTCAGCTGTAGCAGGGAGACAGAGATCGAGGCTCTCAAAGAGGAGCTGCTCTTCATGAAGAAGAACTAGGAAGAGGAAGTAAAAGGCTTACAAGCCCAGATTGACAGCTCTGGGTTGACCATGGAGATAGAAGCCCCCAAATCGCAGGACCTCACCAAGATCATGGCAGACATTCGGCCCAATACGATGAGCTGGCTGGGAAGAACCGAGAGAAGCTGGACAAGTACTGGTCTCAGCAGATTGAGGAGAGCACCACAGTGGTCATCACACAGTCTGCTGAGGTTGGAGCTGCTGAGATGACACTCACGGAGCTGAGACATACAGTCTAGTCCTTGGAGATCGACTTGGACTCCATGAGAAATCTGAAGGCCAGCTTGGAGAACAGCCTGAGGGAGGTGGAGGTCTGCTATGCCCTGCAGATGGGGCAGCTCAATGCCATCCTGCTGCACCTGGAGTCAGAGCTGGCACAGACTCGGGCAGAGGGACAGCGCCAGGCCCAGGAGTACGAAGCCCTGCTGAACATCAAGGTCAAGCTGGAGGCTGAGATTGCCACCTACTGCAGCCCACTGGAAGACGGGAAGAACTTCAATCATGGTGATGCCCTGGACAGCAGCAGCTCCATGGAAACAACCAAAAGTCCACCACCTGCAGGATAGTGGATGACAAAGTGGTGTCTGAGACCAACGACACCAAAGTTCTGAGACATTAAGCCAGCAGACGCAGGGTACCCTTTGGGGAGCAGGAGGCCAATAAGAAGTTCAGAGGCAAAAAAAATAAATTAATTAAAAAAATAAAGTAGAGACAGGGTTTCACTGTGTTGGCCAGGCTGGTCTCGAACTTCTGACCTCAAGTGATCCACTCTGCTTTGGCCTCCCAAAGTGCTGGGATTACAGGCATGAGCCACTGTGTGCCATGACTTGAAGATTTTTCTGATAGAACTGCTTTTTTACAGAATATGTTATTTCAACTATTTTCCTTAGTCAAAAAGATGAATCCCATAATAACTGAAGTTTAAAATGTATGGATATTTTTTGAACATAGAGCCTACACTCAAGTTTTATGTAATGTTCATTCATAAAGAGCTCACAGATCTCTGTTAAAATTTTGAAATTGATCAAACACAATCAACTTTATTATTATTAAAGATTATAATAAAATGCCAATCATAACAAATTAATTTTTGATAACTACTAGTCAGCTTTGTTTGAAATGATTTAGGATTAGTATTTAACTAATCTCAAACTAAGTATGAGCTTGTTGATTTTGATGTTTGAAAACTGCTTACTACAGTTTGCCTTAAGACAAAATAAGAAAAGAAACTTGGTTAAACCAGAGAGAATGTTAAAAATCATGACCAGGGAAGTTTTATATTTGAAGGCTTTTATAAAATATTTACCCACAAACAAATACAATGAAGGGATCACAACATTACAACACTTAGATTCTTCAGATGCCAATCTCAGTCAGAGCTGCCCTAGGCCTCTCTCAAGAGAAAGTTACACATCAAAGGAAAGGTGATAAAGTTCTCATCAAATAGTTAAAAAACTCTGCAATTCTCCTTGACTTTCCATTCTCAAGATGGTTTAGAAGTGATTGAAATAGGTAACATTCTGTCCAAATAGTGTTATGTGAAAGGAATTTCTAAAGGAAACCTATCTGCTGCCAACAATTTGCCCACATAGTTTTCATTTGGTCTTTGTATGTAGCATCATTATTCAAGTAATATTTATTGATTTATGAACATTCTTAATTGGCTAGATTCTCTATGAGTTATAATTAAGAAAATATAGTACCTCACATTAAAAAACTTTCTGAAACCAAAATTTTTATTTTTAAAAAATATATAATTTTCAATAATTGTCAGATTATTATTGTACATTATTTGCCTTCAAGTGTTGAGTATTAAGAAAATAAACAAATGGGCCGGGCGCTGTGGCTCACACCTGTAATACCGGCACTTTGGAAGGCCGAGGCGGGCAGATCACGAGGTCAAGGGATCGAGGCCATCCTGCCCAACCAACATGGTGAAACCCCATCTCTACTAAAAATATAAAAATTAGCTGGGCGTAGTGGCGCACGCCTGTAGCCCCAGTTACTCAGGTGGCTGAGGCAGGAGAATTGCTTGAATCCAGAAGGCGGAGGTTGCAGTGAGCTGAGATCGCGCCACTGCACTCTAGCCCAGGCAACGGAGCGAGACTCCATCTCAAATAAATAAATAAATAAATAAATACATGTTATGCCATTTCAAGTTTGTTTTTTATATCTTCAAAATGCTGGACAATTGTGTATATTACCTGGCTGACTGGCTATTTTATTCAAGCACTTAAGAAAATTACAATACAGTTGTTTATCACATGCACCTTCTCCATTGGTTCAGGTGGGTTCTTATAGTTTTTCTCTTCTGTGGAAAGAGATGACTGCAGACTTGATTATGACAGAATCATACTTGCGTGGGAAATAAGGTTCTCCAACTCCATGAAAAAAAAATATTTTTCTTCCTAAAATCTAGCTATGTAAAAATTTCTTTCTTTCTTTCTTTCTTTTTTCCCTCTGTCACCCAGGCTGGAATGCAGTGGCAAGATCTCGGCTCGCTGCAACCTTTGCCTCCCGGGTTCAAGCGATTTTCTTTCTTCAGCCTCCTGAGTAGCTGGGATTACAGGCGCGAGCCACCACGCCGGGTTAATTTTTGTACTTTTAGTAAACACGGGGTGTTTCACCATGTTGGTCAGACTGGTCTCGAATTCCTGACCTCGTGATCCACCCACCTCGGCCTCTCGAAGTGCTCAGATTAGAAGCTGAGCCACCGTGCCTGGTCCTATGTAAAGATTTCTAAGAATATTCTTGCTCTTGGATTTGGAATGTAAGAAAACTTAATGTATGGGGTTATTTCAATATTAGGAGAGACTTAATACTTACTAATTTATAAAAGCTTCATCTTTTTAATTTTCTGAACCTAATTACGGCACCATATTTATGGATTAAATAAGAGAAACAAAACAGCTTAAAATTCACACTCTTATAATGTCTTTTTTTCCAAACATTTTAGTTCTATATTAGCACGTTCAATACTGTAGCATCTTCTTTTTAAATAAAAACTTCTGTTAATATAGTGGCTATAAGTAACACTATACGCCTGGCTATTAGACTAGAACTAAGATTACATTCAGAATTAACTGGCATTGAATATCCAATATACCAGTATATTCACTACTAGCCCCAGTGTTATCTCAGAGAGAAGTGCCTTTTTGAGAAATAGGTTTTCATGATAACAAACCCACAATATTTTAGTTTAGAGAATCATGAAAGCTGAACATACTTTTAATCATGTTGAAGTTTAGAAACAGATAAATGAAGACTAAAATCTAATTCCTGATATCAATAGGAGTTTAAGAGGTAAAAATAATTACACAACATCTTTATCAGTTTTAAGATGATATATCAATAAATAATGGGATCCATTCTATCAGCCAGCCTCCAGAGGCCGCTGTACGGTTCCTACCCAGAAAGCCAAGAAAAGTATACTTCCATCCACTGAAGCAATTTACTCGACTGTTGCCAAAACTTTATTCTAGGCTGTGTCTGGCAGCTAATAAAAGCAGTTCTTTCTGTACACAGAAATTCACTGTATTTCTTGGGCTTCACGTTGCTAGTCAATGGTTATTAGAGGCTTGCAAGCATGTTGTGTATGGGGAGCAAAGGAAGCTGAATACGAGGTAAAGTCAAAGGCAGTCCTTCAAGAAAACCGTACAGTTTTCTTTTATTTTTTTTTAATCACTGCCAACAGTGCTCCCTTTCAGGGTGGTTTATGTTCACTGTATTTTTTTGTTCCATTTCTTGTTGTTAGGTAGCTATTCTCCATTTATTTTTCTCTTTGTTGTGTCGTTTTTCTTTCTGATCAGTACCTTAACCTCTTTTTTCCTATATATTAGGCTCTCTGTAATAATCTTATTTCTGCTTGTAGATAACAATGTTTTCAGATAGTTCTGAATTTTCATGTTTCCAACCATGGCTTTATTTGTAAATTACTTTTTCATTTATTGAGCACAATTGTACCACATCAAACTCCAGAATAGCTCTCCCTCAGGAGTTAACAATCCCCTGATGTCTTGGTGACTTTTCTCTGAAGACAATGAGTCACCAGAAATACCCAGTTGAGCGCATTAGGTACTAACTCCATGATATCCTACTTCTCTTTTTACTAATATCTTCGCCAGAACCCGGACTTTCTACTCCCTTTTATACCAACCAATTCTAACGCTCATAATGTTTTATACATCCCAAGTCTGAAATATATGGGCTATCATTAGCAATTCCCCTTAAGCCTTAGTCAGTTTTCTGAATGTTCCCATTACTTCTCCAAATAAGTGAGTTTCTGATAAAGACACCGTCTTCTCTGCAGCTTTTTCAGGTGGACTCTTTTCTTTCCTCTCCTAACTCAATAGCTCAGGTCTTAGTGGTGAGGTGTAAGACTCACACTGTTCTTCATTACCACTTTCAAATCATTTTTCTATCTTCTGCCTTAAAAACTCACAAGTCATTTGACCCAGATGTCCAACGATTATGCCATGCCATATTTCCCTATGTAGTTATCATCTATCTCCTGATCACTCTCCTCATTTTTTAAAAAATCGAGTCCTTCTTCTATTATTAATCTTAGTGATATTATCATCATTCCCATGAAAGATTATTCAAAAACTTTTCTTCTCAGTTCCTTAACCTCTTAGAATTTAATAACATTTCTCCAACTTAGCTCAGCCATTAACTCCCATGGCCACCCCTATTGTCAGTACTAATGTATCAATTCCAGTCCTTCAAGTTCTTGTAAATTCTCTGACTATAGTACCCCTGTCCTTGCAATTTTACAACTTCTTCCATACCACCAAACCATTAGTCCTACCTTTTCAAAAAAATCAATTTTTCATGTTTCCTTAAGGAAACGTGTACAATATAAAAATTTTAAAAGAAATAAGGTACTCAAATCCTTCCACTTAAAGGGAGCAATTTTGATTGATTTTTCTTCCTTTATCAATTATAATGTTAGTTTTTTGTTTCTGTTTTAGAGATGATATATGATTACTATTATGAAAGATGAGGCTTTAACACTAATGAATTCGCCAGACATAATGTGAATACCCCCAAAATAAAAGTTCACACTTTTTGTTAAATCATTATTCAGCACTAACATTCTATGATTATGGAAATATTATTCACAGATCATAGAGTATATAATTTACGTAATAGTATAGGTTCACTCTTCTCTTCTACAACATTGTTTTTCTTCTTCTTCTTCTTCTTTTTTTTTTTTTTTTTTGAGATGGAGTCTCGCTCTGTCCCCCAAGCTTGAGTGCAGTGGTGCAATCTCGTCTCACTGCAACTTCTCCCTTCTGGGTTCAAGCAATTCTCCTGCTTCAGTCTCCCGAGTAGCTGGGACTACAGGCACTTGCCACCATGCCCAGCTAATTTTTTGTATTTTTAGTAGAGATGGAGTTTCACCATATTGATCAGGCTAGTGTTGAACTCCTGGCCTCGTGATCTGCCCGCCTCGGTCTTCCAAAGTGCTGGGATTACAGGCGTGAGCCACCGTGCCCAGCCTGTTTTTCTTTTTAATTCATTTCATGCATACTGCCTCCCTAGTAGCTAGATTGGGCCATGTACCAAAATCTGGCCAGTGAAATTCAGTGAAGGGTAGTGGGTAACCCTGTAGAAATGAAGTTTAGTGAAAGTGGATGTGAGCCCTCTGCAACCCCATCCCTTGCTTCTCCCTGCCACAGGGATGATGAAGATGATGGCTGGGACCCGAACAGCTAATTTTTGTGTTTGATTTCTGTTTTGTTCTATTTTAGCACTCTTTCTTTGATAAATGCCTTTCATCATTTTAATCTTTTTTTTTCTCCTCTTTCTTTTTCTGTCATCTAGCTTATTGGCAGAAGAACTCTTATCCAAGGATTCTGATGCTCTAAATTTAGTTTATCTTTCATACATTTTTTGAAAATTTGTTGGTACTGTTGTCCCATTTCCAGATTTCCTCCACCTTATTCTCCAGCCCTCTCATGAAATTTAATGAGTTTTTATTGAAGTAGTAATTTTGTATGTGTAGAGCTTCACTTAACACTAAAAGGCTGAAAACTGAAAACATTTTTCTCTTAGAGATTAGAATTGTACCTGAGTAAACAAATAGAAACTTGTGAATAGTTCATCACCAGCTGTGAGATGGTATTTTGCACATATATGTGATAGGTTTGAGTGGATGACCATATGCAGCTTGATATTTGGGTTCATATGTCATCATAGAAAATGCCAATTAAGGGTTAAGCTCTCTGGCCAGGCACGGTGGCTCACACCTGTAATCTCAGCACTTGGGGAGGCCAAGGCAGGCAGAGTTTGAGGTGAGGAGTTTGAGATCAGCCTGGCCAACATGGTGAAACCCCATCTATACTAAAAATACAAAATTAGCTGGGCGTGGTGGTGGGCGCCTGTAATCCCAGCTGCTTGGGAGGCTGAGGCAGGAGAATCACTTGAAACTGGAAGGTGGAGGTTGCAGTGAGCAGAGATGGCGCCACTGCGCTCCAGACTGGGCGAAAGAGCAAAACTGCATCTCAAAAAAAAAAGAAAAAAGGGTTAAGCTCTCCCATCTCTTTTCCCATGAAAATATATTTTAAAGTCACATTACTATATGCACTATTATGTATTTCTTTAAGAAATAACTTTGAATTTTAGAGCTATCATATCAAATGATAACGAGATAACTCATATTAATATTTTAACTATGGTATTAGAATTAAAATATACATACATTGGTTTTAACATACATTAATGCATTTTCTAAACAAGAAAAATTAATACTGTATCATTATAGTTCACATGACAATTTAAAAAAATTCAAATTTGAGTATAATATTTTGTATTTCTATATATTTTACATTTTTTATACATAATTTATCCAAAGTACTTCACAGGAGTGTTATGTCATATTTTCTATTTGATTAAATAGAAAGCAATAGAAGAAATAATACTTTTGTAATTGTTAAAATACTATTGTATGTATAGCAATAAATGTTTTCATTACAATCCATTTTATTTTGTGTATTTACATAGAAGATATCTCTGAGATACTTTAATATAGCTAAAAATTGAGGTTGAAATCTTAAAATGTACTATCAATGAAATAGCATTTTATGTTAAATTGTATTCATTTGCATTTAATTAGATGTCTTAGATGTAGTTTTTAGTAATATGAGACTGATGAAAAAAATGACATGATATATTCACAGTCTTTGGAAAGCATAAATCTTTATCTTGTGCAAGAAAATAACTGGACTTTTGTGGTATTTATGAGAATATGATAAGAGCTATGAGCATTTGTAAGAAGCAAAATATGGAACAAATATCTTTCATTACCACACTTGTAGATTTTATCAACCAAATGTTAAAATCTTAAGTTGATTCCAGGAAGAAAGTACTGCTAAAGAACTATTTACTTACTAGTAGTAGAGACGGATGGACATCTTGAACAAAGTCCTAGGTTTGTGCCAAGAAAAGTTTTCTTTGTGGTCAGAAGGAAGTTAATAGTAAAGACGTTAAAAGCCTCCGGGGTATGTCTTCACTGCTTCCTCATTTGCATACTCTGACCAGCACTGCTGGATGCTGGAAGAGGACACCTCAGACTCCCGCCTTCTCCCTGTGCAGCTGTCTTATCTACATATCTGTTTCATGAACTCTAGCCACCTTGGTAACTCTGACCAACTTTGCCTGCTCAGTTCAGGGAGTCTGCCAGGCTTGGCCTAGTTACTTGCTTCCTGTTATGGTGTAAAAAAATCTCAGGACTAGCAGCTGGAACAATTGTAGGATTTACTTTGTTGAGTTCTGGTCTTTCAGGGCTCACTGTCCATTGTTGGCTGATGTTTAGTGTCTTGAAAACCGTTGTTTCATGTATTTTTACTTTTTTTTAGTTGATTGATACAGTAGTAAACATCTTGGTCTGAAGTAGAACATTTGTTTGATTATGTCTTATTTTTCTGTCTTTAATAGACTATTTTGGGAGAAAATGGGGGAAATACAGGAAAAAAAGGGAAAAAAACTCTAATAATGTTTATTGTACTTGTGCCATTACTCTCCCTATCATTTGACCATAGCACTATCCAGGAGAGGGCTGTAAATATCTTATTTCTTCCATCTCCCTAATCCTCTTCACTTTCTTAGTGTTATATTTCATGCATTCATTGATTTATTCAACAAATACTTTTTGAATCTCCTTTATGTATTTGGCAAGGTGAGAAGGGCCTCTTACCAGGAGATTCCTCTGATAATTTTTACATATGCCCCTCAATGATCTTGAGAAGACCGTGTCTGTGTTTACAACTACATTTGCGATGGAAGGGGGAAATTAAAGTACAAAAACTAGGGGTGGCATTGTCATATTTGCATTGTAGAAAGATAATTATGGGTGCAATATGAAGTATGTGTTAATAGGTCAAAGATGCTTAGGAAAGAAATCAATAGGGAGGCTGTTAAGATGACCCAGTTAAGAAATATTAAAGGCCAATATTCGGGCAGTAGTAGCAAAGATGAATAAGAAAATACACATGCGAAAATTATTTAGAAGGTAAAATTAAAAGTACATGATGATTTATAGGATACAACATAAAAATATTAGGGAGAAAAAGATTTCAAGAAGGGCTCCACTGTTTCTATCTTCTTAGTATTTTAACTATAAGTAGGCCATCAAATATTTAATTAAAATATGAGAATGATTTTCTAATCTCTCTTACTCTAGTCCATTTTTGTATATGCGGCAATAATCATTATAGCCATCATATGAAGGTTTGAAAAGATAACTTGGGTAATATATCAAAAAATATTAGTACAGTGCCTAGTACATAAAAAGTGATTCCATATTTTAAATATTGATACAATGTATTATTTTCCTTGTTAATCGAATAGCATTATAGTTATACTTTTTAGATATGCCTTTAAGTCACTTTCAAGCTATGTTGATTATTTGAATATTTAGGCCCCTCAGTAAGGCATGGTGATTAATGTAAATCAAAGTAAAGTTTGCGTTTTGGTTAACACATTTCGATTTGTTAGTTTGAATCAGTTCTTCTGAATCAAATTATCTCTATATACTCTGCTCAATTTAGGTTTTTAGAACTATAAAGTTGAAGCTAAAATAGACTAAGATGACCTACCAAGGTACTCTGAATGTTACTTCTGTAAACTAAATAATAGATTTTTCAGAAGCCATATTTATTTTGTTAATTGCAACTATAATGACATTAACAACTCCTAGAGAATCTTAGGATATGGAACCAAGACTCATTAGCTCCAGTAAAGAATTTAAAAAGCTTTCTTTTCCCAGACACTACTATTGTTCAATAATCATATACATACAGTATGACATAATGAGGACCTCAGTGAACTCTCTCTCTAAAACTATAAAAGTACTAGCAAAACAACCTAAAACCTGCCATAGCAGAACTCTAGTAATTAGAGTGATCCTAGAGAAAATATTGAATGTAAGTATGACAGCAAGATCTGTGGTTCTACTCGTATCACTCCTTTTTACCCCAGATCAATGGCACAGTAGCAAAAATACAGAAGTACTGCAGACAATGAGATTTAACCTCTTCTGGAGTTCCCTTCAAAGCATCACTCCCAGAGCACAGACAATATTTTGTTTGAACTTGGAGATTACTACAAAATCTCTAATCTCAGACTGTGGTGATGTTTTGTATTTAACTCAGAGAACTCAGCTCTGCTGCACAGTGGGGGATGAGAATAAAACATTCAACAATAATAGTTGAATATTTCAGCAACCCACTTTCAATAACAGATGAGGTAACTAGGCAGAAGATCAACAAGGAAATGGAAGACTTGAGCAACATTAGAAACCCCTAGACTTGACAGACATGTATAGAATACTACACCCTACAACAGCAAAATACACATCCTTCTTAAGTGTATAAAATCATTCTCCAGGACAGACCATATGCTGGACCACAAAATAAGCCTTCATAAATTGAAGGGATAAAAATTATACAAAACTTATGAGAAATTATAGAAATCAAGGCAAAGCAATACTGGCATGAGAATAAACATACTGATCAAAAGAATGCGATTGAGTTTACAGAAATAAACTCATACTTATGGTCAACTGATATTCAATTGACTATAAATCAATTGAATATAAATTGACAAAGGATGCCAAGACAATTCAATGGAGAAAAAAGTAATATTTTCATACATAGTGATAGGACAAATGAATATCCAAATCCACAAGAACAAATCTAGACTGCTATCTCATCCTACAAAAAAATTAACTCAAAGGTGTATATAGACACAAACTAATTGTCAAAATTATAAAAGTTATACAAGAAATCATAGGGGTAAATCTTCATGACCTCAGGTTAGGCAGTGATCTTTTAAATACAACACCGATAGCACAACTGGCAATATAAATAAAAAAAGATAATTTGGATTAATCAAAATTGAAAACTTTGCCCATCAAAGGTCATAATCAAAAAGTGAAAAGTCAAGTGGAAAAATGAGAAAAATCTATTTTAAAATCACACATTTGACCAAGGCCTTGTATCTAAAATACATAAAGTAATTCTATAACTCAACAATAAAAACAACAAGTAATGAAATGGGCAAAGGATTTAAATAGAAATTGCTAAAAGGAAAAAAGAAAGAAATACAATTGGCCAATAAACACATAAAAAGATGCTGAACATCATTAGTCATTAGGAAAATGCAAATTAAAACCTAAAGGAAATACCACTTCTCATATGATGGAATGCTTAAAATAAAGGAGACAGAAAATAAGAAGTGTTTGATGAAGATATGGAGATATTGGAACCCTTATATATCACTGGTAGAAAGTTAAAATGGCATAGCCACTTTGAAAAACTTACAGTTCTTCCAAGAAATTAAACACAAATTTACCGTATGACCCAGAAATTTCACTCCTCAGTATATACCCAAAATAAATGAAAAGTTAGATACATAAAAAAAGTATAAATAAGAGTACATAGCAGCATTATTCATAGGCAAAATATGGGAAAACACAAAATGTTTAATATCTATTAATAAACATAACATGTTATATCATGCAATAAAATATTACTTGACAATAAAAATAATGAAATATTAATACATACTACGATAGAGATGAACCTTGAAAATGTCGTGTTAAGTGAAAGAAGGCTGTCACAAAGACCACATCAAGAACAATTTTATTTACGTGAAATACCAGTCTAAGTAAATCCAGAGACAGAAAATAGATTAGTGGTTCTCTGGAGCTGAGGCTGGAAGTGGGTTCTTGAATGAGAGAGTGCAGGATGTGAAGCCAGGATGGAATATGGCTGCTAATGTGTTTGGGGCTTTTTGGGCAGCAGGTAAGTATTCCAAATGTAGATTTTGATGATGGTTGTACACTCTTTGAAAATGCTAAAAATCATTCAACTGTGTGTTTTAAAGTGGTGAATTTTATGATATGTGTAATATCTCAATAAAGCTATAAAATAAAAATATGCATTAAGCAACTAATTGAGTATGCTATTTCATTCATTTAGCAAATAGAAAATTAAAATGGATAGTTTCTCCCATGGAGAAAGCACAATAATAATACTGAAGTAAAAGACAACTGGAAAACTGCCACAAATTCAAGAGACTACATACAATTTCTTCAAACATTTTCAGTCTCCTTCTGTCCTTAAAACTGCCTTTCAACCTTTTGTACCCTGGATAACATCTGATGCATAACAGTAGGAGTTTCATAAATTATTCTGATGAATGAGTATATTAATTTGTTTTATGGAAAATGTATTTGTTTTATGTTACACTATTAATTGCTATGTTGAACTTGACATTTTGATGAAATTCCATGCATTCATTTAATTTTCAACATGCTTATTCTTTCTTTTTCTATTTGACTTTACGTCTGCTTAGACTACTACTTTATCTCACTGTAAACAATTACTGTTATTGGGCCTTATTTTATCGTTGCTAATAAAAATTTATTGAGCATCAAAATCATACATCTATTATATACATAATATATTATATAATATATGCAATACATGATGTTATATATAGTATGTAATATATGTATTACATATATAATATATTGTATAATATATATTATTTGTATATTTTTATTATATATTATATATTATTTTAAAGTCAGTCTTTTTGTTGTATCAGTATATTGTTGTGATTTAAAAATAATGATCTCACGCATCTATCACTTTGGAGTATGTGCAGAATAAAATTTTTCCCATAAATACATGCCTTTTTATATGCATTATTCCTTAGGAACTTTTGTTTTTGGCTAAATATTTAAAAACATTTCCAAAACTTTTTCAATTGCTTAATACTTTTTGCTATCTGGAGCAGAATGACGATGATGCTCAGAACATAGGGTTAAAGTGATATGCTTCCTGCTTTAAATGATCACCTAAACTCTGTGCTTTGTTTTCTGTATAAATTTCTTTTCTTTCAGTCAACTTCAAAAGATAAGAGCTACAGGTTAAAGCTGCAATGTTCTCTCTCCTTCCAGCCTGAATGATTCCAGGTGAGGCTTCTGATTTACAGTCCCTTCTAACCAAGCTACTTAAACCAATAAAGTTAATTTTATGAACAATTCTAAAATCTTATACTGCTGACAAACAGTTTTGTCACTCTCCGGGTTAAGTGTGTAAGCTGTGGGACAGTCAATATCTTACGAGGCAATTTTCCTGTATTTCTGGTTATGTAACTGTGCTCTAAGTACCAAGTTTGAAGAAAATGTTATTTTATGTAAAGTAAAGGGCACTATTTTATATTTTCAAATTAACAAAAAGAAAAATACTTCCCAGAAGGGATTTAAAATATAGCAAAATATTGCAGTGATTTCTAAGGTAGAAAATTATGGTAGTTCTGGGTGGTTTTTTTTTTCCCACTAATGCCTAAATACTTGTGAGAATTAACACATGTTTTCAAGAAATGTTAATGAATAGAATGTAGGAATCTAAAATAATAAGAATAATATATACAAATTACATATTCAGATAAAACAGATACAGAATAATAATCAGGTTATCTTTTCAAAAACTAGCTGTTATTACTGATAATGAACTAATTTAACAAAATTTCTTCTAAATATATGATAATTGATTTATTAAATAAGACTATTAATTTTTCTTTAAGTTTTTAGGTGATTTACTTTACCATTCAATCAAACATAATGAAATAATCTTGGTAAATTTGACTCAAGAAAATTCAACTAGGGGCATTCAGATTTATGAGAATTTTCAAATTTCTATAATTAAGGTTTTTTTCCTTTTTTAGGTGTAAAGTTCTTTTTGATCAATTTCTGAATTAAAATGATTTGCTCAAACAAAATGAGTATTCCAATGAATATATGTTTACATCTTTATCATCTGATATGTTTTATTTTGTGACTAAAACATTTTTTGCTTAAGCAGAAATATCTTCCCCTCTTAAACGGGGAAAAGTAAAAATTCCTAAGAAAAGAATAAGGTATTTTATTTCTTACTAGCGGAATGGTTAATAAACAAAATATAGTTTTATAATCTAATTTACTGTTCATGCTATGTTCAGGAAGAAGGACAACTTTAGTTGATGCTAGAATTAGGAAGAAAAATAGAAAGTAGAAAAATATTTTCATTGTAATTGGGGGAGCATGTTGAACGTGGACTATATTCCCTACAGGAAGCTATAACTTTCATTTATTGGTATACAGAGACTGATTCCAGGACTTGAGAAAAAAATTGCATTAGTCCCTGAAATTTTTGGCAAATTAATAGTAATGTTGATATTAAAGACAATCTCTCCATAATTTATATTATTTGATATATCTTTCATATGATGTTAAATTCATAAAACTTGAAGAAATATTAATACTCTTCCTTTTGTATATGATAAAACCAACTTGATTCTAAATTCATTTAGGTGGGCATATATAAAAGTGTTTTAAGAGATTTCTATTTTTAGAAAAGACTTGTCTTTGTGTTCTTACCCTTCTAAACCTTCCTGAAATTTAAGTCAATGTTTTATTTTTCTTTTTATTATTTTTTATAATGTTGCCCTGTTATCAGTAAAGATGAATAACTGTCAAATCTTTTTCTAGAAATGGATTTATAAGCCTGAGAAAGGCCTTGGCAGATTACCAATCCTTTCCATTTATGGCAAAGGTACTGGATAACATTGAAGGTCAACCAGGAAATCCATGATGAGTCTAGGACCAAAGAAGCAGCCTTTGGAAGGGCCTTGAGAACATTATTGGGTCACTTGGGAGCCTTTTTCTTTTCACTCTAAAGAACTTTAAAATTCATTTTATGATTTCTCCTAAAGCTAATTTATAGAACCACTGGACAGATAAGCAAAAAATAGTCAATTTAGTGAAACTTCTTAAGTTGTGACAGAGAGCTTCACCCCTTACAAATTGGTTATTAAAGCCTAATGGGGAGTATTATTTAATATAATCTAATAACCCCTCCCATAATACTTTCTTAATATTTTAGTTCATATATTTAAAGTTTATTAAAATGAAGTCAATATAAAATAAATTAGCAATAAATGATTGAATTGTGTTTGCACTTGTTATAGGTTGGCATTGGTGAGAGAGGAGACACAATATTATTTTTAAGCAATATCTCCTTTTTCCTATAAAGAAAATGAGGTGATTTAATTGTCTTATCACTAATAAAAGTATTAACTACAGTTACCTGAGTGAAATTCCTAGAATTAAAGAGAAGAAACATAAATGCATTCTTAATAAATGGGCACACTTTATACTTTGTGCCTATATTAAATTAGCAGATAATATGTGGTCAGCAACAAAAAACACTAGTTTTATGAATTGTCCTTATACTAAGACATACGTACTAAATCTGGCCGGGTGCAGTGGCTCACATCTGTAATCTCAGCCCTTTGGGAGGCTGAGGTGGGTGGATCACTTGAGGTCAGGAGTTTGAGACCAGCCTGGCCAACATGGTGAAACCCCATTGCTACTAAAAATACAGAAATTAGCTAGGCGTGGTGGATTATGCCTGTAATCCCAGCTACTCAGGAGGCTGAGGCAGGAGAATCACTTGAACCTGGGAGGCAGAGGTTGCAGTGACCTGAGATCATGCCACTGCACTCCAGCCTGAGCCACAGAGCAAGAGTCCATCTCAAAAATAAATAAATTAATTAATTTAATTAAATTATATTTAAAAATAATAAAACATGTATTAAATCTGATTACTTAACACATTTTTTGGTTAGGAATTTATTTCAGTGCTATACACAATGTGATATTTTTCAATAAATTTTAATTTAGAATTCATTATTTTTTTCATAATTGCTGTGATCATTTATCACATTATACACAGTTGAGCTGATTTATCTGCAGGTATTAAAACTGCAGCATTTACACTCCAGAAGTTAGTAAATATAAACCATAAGGGGAACATATCCACCATATAGATTTTATTAAAATAAAACAATAAAAATCATGCCAAAGTTCATTGCATTTTTTTTTCATTAAAATCATACTAGTTCAAATTTTGAATGCCTGCTGCTGGAAGTCTATAAAAGAAATCATAGGTTATATCAATAAATAATGACACTTTGCCACAAATGATGAATAGTTTTAACTCTGTTGTTCTTTAATTTATATGTCTTTTAGACCTATTCTCTCTCTCTCTCTCTCTCTCTCTCTCTCTCTCACACACACACACACACACACACACATACACAAACATACATACATATGATTTACAATATTCATAAGTGCCCTGCTTGTAAGGTTTTCGTCCATGCCATGAGACTTATATCCTAGACGAAACCAATCTGTACTGTGAAAATCCTCATTTCCACTGGGAATTTTATTTTTAGATTTTCACTCTCCATCCATCTGCCTTTGAGCAATTTTCTGTGCTTCAAGCATGAGCAAGCAATATTAATCCAATTTCTAGTTTCTGTGAAGCACATTATGTTAGATCATATGCACTTCAGTGAATCTTCTTAGAAACTTTGTATTTACTTAACTGTTTCACTATCAGCCTTTATCGAAAGAGTAGCAAAGAAATACATAAAGCCAGGTTAATTTTATTTTCTATCTTAGGAAACAGCCCAATGATTCAAGAACAATGGAATCATATGATATGATGAAATACTATCTGAACAGAGCAAAATTACACATTGATATTTCAGTGGATATCAATAAACTATAAAAGAATAGCTTATTGCTCTAATGCTCAGATACTTAAATTATGTTTGAGGGAGCAAATGAAAACTTCATCAATTGTAATAAAATAATTTTATATGAAATCATTATAATTTGTATACATTTATTTTCATCCCTTCAAAATTATCTTGAAATATTAAAAAATACAATATGTCTACTCAATGGGTGAAATTATTCTACAAATAGGGTAATGTGAATTTGAAACCTGTAATAACTTTTAAAAGCCAAATGGAAATATTGTAGAATTTATTCTTTGTTATTTTTCAAATATATCCACTGCCTCTCCCCTCCACAAAAAAACATTATGTCTGCATGATGCAAACCTTTAAATAACTATTGATAATTTGATTAAACATTAGATTGTATTAAAAATAAATCTGAATGAATGAGCATTTTAATATTCTTTAAATTTCCTGGGTGATTCCAAAGATATTAACCAAGTTACTTGTTTTATCTAAAGAGAGTACAATTTAAGCATATCAATCTATCAATATATTTTTGGTAGTGCCACAAATAAACAGCTGGTCCTGAAAATTTCATGTAAGCGAGAACTTAGAACATATGTTCTTCAACTTAAAGTAGAGAAAAGTTAATTCACTTTTACACATATTTATGTAAGTACTAAGTAATAGGTACAAGCTATGGTAGTTACTGCCCCCACAGAAAAATCACTGCATGGTAATAAAAGGAAATAAAAAGAAAATAAAGGCTCATAGAGAAAGAAGAAATAAAATACATTCAAATCCGCTTTAGGTTTAGAAACTATTTGCTTCACCTTCATAAGCACATTATTTTGCTCTGCCACAGAAGAATAGATGTTTAATAGATCCTTGTAATGTGAAATAATTAATGCCAGAGCTGAGCTCAGATGCTGATCTTTTTCCTTAAATTTCAGGACTATTCTCAATACATCACTACTGTTCAATAGAAATATTAGGATATTACCTAGGAGGGAGCACTTTGATCTTTTATCAGCTATTCTCACACATTTGAACCCTATGGTGAATTAAAATGACAGACAAAATTGAAATGTGCTACAGAGAAAACTTATTTTAAATGGGTGGAAGGAGAAAGGAAGAAATGAGAGGAACAAATGGAACAAAGTGTCCTTGAGCACTAAGGACAGTGTGTGGACTAGAGATGCTAAACCCAGAGCATAAACACAAACAAATTTACAAGTCTTAGGAATAAAAAAAAAATAAAAAAGACCACCAAAACCAGGAACACAATCTGGGTTGATCATAGTCCCAAAAAGGAAATAAAACTTAACCCATTGAAAAGATTTCTCAAAAGCTTCAGGCAGAGTTAAGGAAACAAAAAAGGTATAGCAAGTGAGGCATCCAGATACTAGCAATGTCAGAGCATCTTTCTACCCATAGATTGAAGAAAAAAAGGATAGGAAACATTTTTACAGTTCCTCAAGGGGAACTTGAACTACCAGCGAAAGGGCTACCCAAGTAGTTGTGGAGAAAAGCAGTTGCAGACAAAAAAAAAAAAAAGAGCATCCTCAAAGCAAAGGAGAATGGAGAATCTTCACTCCTGCCCTCCAGTCTCATGTTGGTGCTTTCCCTGTGTTAAACCTAATCATAAACCAGCCAGCATCGGGTCCCTAGGGACAATAACAAAAGGGGGTGACACCTGAGGTGATGAGAGCAAAAATGGATAGGGCAAGCAAGTAAAAAGAATAACTACATAATTCATCTATGCTCAAATTTTCAGGGTTCACCATGACGAAAAAAGACCAGTTGTTCTATTGTGGTTAAATTTTAACTTTTTTTAAAAAAATTATGGGTACATAAGAGTTGTATAGGTCGGGCACGGTGAATCACACCTGTAATCCCAGCACTTTGGGAGGCCGAGGCAGGCAGATCACCTGAGGTCAGGAGTTTGAGACCAGCCTGGCCAACATAGTGAAACCCTGTCTCTCTAAAAATACAAAAATTAGCCAGGTGTGGTGGCACACACCTGTAGTCCCAGGTACTTGGGAGGTGAAGGCAGGTGAGTCACTTAAACCCGGGAGGTGGAGGTTGCAGTGAGCTGAGATCATACCACTGCATTCCAGCCTGGGTAACAGAGTGACAGTGTCAAAAAAAAAAAAAAAAAACAGACAGTTGTATATATTTATGGGATATATGTGATGTTTTGATACAAGCATACAATGGGTAATGATCAAATGAAGGTACTTGGGATATCCGTTTACCCTGACTTTGTGTTGGGAACATTCGACATTCCATATTCACTCCTCTAGTTGTTTTGAAATACACAATAAGGTCGGGTGAGGTGGCTCACGCCTGTAATCCCAGCACCTTGAGAGGCCGAGGTGGGCAGATCAAGAGGTCAAGAGATGGAGATCATCCTGGCCAACATGGTGAAACCCTATCTCTACTAAAAATACCAAAATTAGCTGGGCGTGGTGGCGCACACCCATAGTCCCAGCTACTTGGGAGTCTGAGGCCAGAGAATTGCTTGAACCCGGGAGGCGGAGATTGCAGTGAGCCGAGATCACGTCATTATACTCCCTGCATTCCAGCCTGGTGATAGAGTGAGAGAAAGAAGGAAGGAAGGAAGGAAGGAAGGAAGGAAGGAAGGAAGGAAGGAAGGAAGGAAGGAAGGAAGGACGGACGGAGGGAGGGAAGGAAGGAAGGAAGGAAAGAAGGAAGGAAAGAAGGAAGGAAAGAAGGAAGGAAGGAAGGAAGGAAGGAAGGAAGGAAGGAAGGAAGGAATTTTTAACTATGGTTGTCACATTTTGCTACCAAACACTAGATCTTATTTCTTCTAACTGTATTTTTGTACCCATCAATCAACCCCTCTTTAACCTCTCCTCCTCAGTACCCTTTAGAGCCTCTGGTAACCATCACTCTACTTTTTACCTCCATGAGATCAAATTTGCAATGCCAGTATATGAAGGAGAACATGCAATGTTTGTCTTTCTGTGTTTGGCTTATTTCACTTAACATAATGTAACGTCCTCCAGTTCCATTGATGCTGTTGCAAATGACAGGACTTCATTCTTTTTATGGCTGAATAATATTCCATTGTGTATATATACTACATTTTCTTTATCTATTCATCCATTAATGGACACTTAGGTTGATCTCATATCTTGACTACCATGAGTAGAGCTGCAATAAACATGGGAGTGCAAATATCTCTTGGATGTATTAATTTCATTTCTTTTGAATATATTGGCAGCAGTGGCATTGCTGGATCATATGGTTGTTCTATTTTTAATTTTCTTAGAAACTTCCATACTGTTTTCCATAGTGGCTGAACTAATTTAAATTCCCACCAACAGTGTATGAGCATTCCCCTTTCTCCATATACTTGCTGCCATCCTTTTTTTTTTTTTTTTTTTTGAGAAAAGCCATTTTAACTGGAGAGAGATGATATTTCATTGTTTTTGACTTGCATTTCTCTGATGATTAGGAAAGTTGAGCATTTTTTCATATACCTGTTGGCCATTCTTATCTTTTGAAAAATGTCTATTTAACTATGTTGCCCATTTTAAAATTAGATTCTTTGTTATTTTGTTATTGAGTTTTTCAGCTCCTTATATATTCTGGTTATTAATCCCATAAAAGTTAAATAGCTTGCAAATATTTTCTCCCATCCTGTTTCTGGATAGTTTCCTTTGCTGTACAGAAGCTTCTTAGTTAGATGTGATCCCATTTGCCCATTTTTGCTTTGGTTGCCTGCGCTTTCCAGGTCTTACTCAAAAAATCTTTGCCCAGACCAATGTTCTGTAGCATTTCCACAATGATTCCTTCTAGCAGTTTTGTTGCATCAGGTCTTAGATTTAACTCTTTAATAATTTTGAATTGATTTTGTATATGAGGAACAATGGTGTCTAGTTTTATTCTTGTACCTACGAATATCCAGTTTTCCCAGCACCATTTTTTGAAGATACTGGCTTTTCCCCAATGGATGTTCTTGACACCTTTGTTGAAAATGAGTCGACTGTAAATGTGTAGATTTATTTATTTGTCCCCTATACTGTTCCATTGGTCTATGTGTCTGTTTTAATACCACTGCCACGCTATTTTGGTTACTATAGCATAGTATAATTTGAAGTCTGGTATTGTGATCCCTCCAGTCTTGTTCTTTTTGCTCAGGATGACTTTGGCAATTTTTAGTCTTCTGTGGTTCCACGTAAATTTTAGGATTTTTTTTTCTATCTATGTGAAGAACATCATTATTATTTTGATAGGTATCGCATTGAATCTCTGCTTTAGGTAACGTGGACATTTTAACAATAAGATTTTTCCAATCTGTGAACATTAAATATCTTTCTATGTTCTCTGTCCTCTTCAATTTTGTATGTCAATATTTCATAGTTTTCATTGGAGAAATATGTCACCTCTTTGGTTCAGCTTATTCCTATGCATTTTATTTTATTTGTAGCTATTGTAAATGAGATTGCTTTAAGAAAAAAAAAACGTTTTCATTATCTATTTATGTCTTTAAGCAAATTTCTGTGGTTATTATTGTTTTTGATGAGTTTTTCTTTTTCTTTTTTCTTTTTTTTTTTTTTTTTTGAGACGGAGTCTTGCTCTATTGTCCAGGCTGGAGTGCAGTGGCAGGATCTCGACTCACTGCAACCTCTGCCTCCCAGGTTCAAGTGATTCTCCTGCCTCAGCCTCCTGAGCAGCTGGGATTGCAGGCACGGACTGCCATGCCCCACTAATTTTTTGTATTTTTAGTAGAGATGGGGTTTCACCATGTTGGCCAGGCTGGTCTTGAACTCCTGATATTGTGATCTGCCCGCCTCGGCCTCCTAAAGTGCTGGGATTTCAAGCATAGGCCACCATGCCTGGCCTCAATAGGTTGTCCTTTTAGTCTTCATACTAAATATATGAGTGGTTTATGCACTGCAATTATAGTATTAGAGTATTTAGTACTTGTGTGTGTACTTAATCTACCAGTGAGTTTTATAACTTTAGTGATTTTTTTTTTTTGGTGTCCTATTCTTTCACACTGAAGAACTACCTTCAGTCTGGTTGTAGATTTATCATTTTGAGGCTATTTTGTAGATTTTGCTAGTACACTCCATTATTTCTTGTTCATGACCCTTTTTTCTCCTCTGACTGTATATTTTCAAATAGCCTATCTTGAAGCTTTGTAATTATTTTTTCTGCTTGATCAATTATGCTTTTGAGGCATTATGATGCATTTTTCAGTTTGTCAATTGAATTTTTCAGCTCCAGGATTTTTGTTTGATTTTTAAAAATTATTTCAATATCTTTGTGAAATTTCTCTGATAAAATTCTGCATGTCTTCTCTGGGTTGTCTTGAAGGTCATTGAGCTTCTTCACAAAGCTTTTGGAATTTTTTTTGTCTGAGAGATTTCATATCTTCATCACTCCACGACTGGTCACTGGTGACTTATTTACTCCATGTGATGAGGTCATAGTTTTCTGGATGTTCTTGATGCTCATAGACATTTGTTTATTTCTGGGCATAGAGAGATTTTATTTTATAAAATCTGGAAGTTATTTATTCCAGTTTTTGTAGTTTGGCCTTGTTTGTGCCTATCATTCTTGAGAGGAATCCAAGAATTCAAAGGGGATTGCGTTTTATTTCCTAGCCTGTGGTCACTTCAGCCATTCCAGTACTAGGTGATGCCCCAAGCCCACATATGCCGTGACTCTTGCAGCCCCCTAAATACATAGCCTTGGTGGACTTGGAGAAGATGAGGGAGAATTTCCTGGATTCCCCAAAAGTCCTTTGCTTTCTTTCCTTCCTTTCCCACAAGGAGTCTTTTTCTGTGCTGGAGTGCCTGGAATTGGAGGAAGGATAATATGAGCACTCTCATGGGCACAGCTGGCACTGTGCTGTGTTGCCCCTGAAGCCCATATCTTCTCAGACCAGCACAGCACTGGGGCTCCCCCAAGGCCCATGGCAACGACTGCCTGGCTGCCACTGATGTTTATTCAAGGACCAAGGCCATTCTCGTCAGCCGGTGTGAATTCTGCTGAAACTGTCTGTCCCACCAGGGCCAGTGGATTCCCTTCTGTTCTGGGATGTGTCTAGAAATAACATCTAGGAGCAAAGTCCTGGAACTGGGTGTTTCAGGAGTCTGCATAGTGTGTTATTTTGCTGTGGCTTAGCTGGTATCTGGCTATAAGACAAAGTTCTCTGTACTTTTGCCTTTTCTTCCCCTAAGTAGAAGGGGTCTCTCCCTGTGTTTCACTGCCTGGAGTTGAAAGAGGGGTGATGCGTGGACTTCCTTGACAGCTGCAGCTTGCATCTCACTGGGTTGCACCCTAAGGCCAAAGTCTCCAAGGTCTGAACAGCACCGGGGCCTGCTCAACAATTGCAATTGCTGTGGCCTAACTGCATCTCAAATTTATTCAGGACCCCAACCTACTTTAGTTAGCAGTGGTGAAGTGGGCTAGAACTTGGGTTCCCACCCTTGGGGTGGAGGATTGCCTTCTGGCCCAGGACTGATCTAAATGCTCTCTCAGTGGAACAGTGGAATTCTGCCCGACGTTGTGTTTTACTGTATCAGGGTGGCACTGAGTTCCAATGCAAGGTGCCACACTCACTTCACTCTCCCTGCCCCAAGCACACAGGTTCTCTCTCCCTGCTGCTCTGCCTGAGGCTGGGGAAGGGGTGTATAGGCAATGCAAGATTATCCTTCCTATCCTCTTCGACGCTTCTTTCCTTGTCATTATGTTATATGTGATTTCTATAAAGGTGCTTTCTGCGTGGATAGTTGTTCAATGTGTTACTTCTGTGGGGAGAACAATCACTAGAGGGTTCCATTTGGCCATCTCGCTCCGCCTCCTTGTGGTAACACTTTTATAAACTCATTTAACTGAACTGTAAGTGGTGTAGAAAGCATATTTCTAATTTTGCAAATTACCAGCTCTCCTTGCCAGCCAATGTCTAAGCTTTGGAAGACAGAACCACAGTGTCAGTAGCATTGTTGCTTTAAAATAAAAGACACTGTAATTTGGGGAATTTGAATGTCTTCATTTTCTTCAACTTAATTGGTATTGAATTTCATCTTTTAGTTATTTTATTTAATATATTCATCTGTAGGGCAGAATTAACTTCATAGCAAATAAATTTTATTTTATAAAACATTTGCTTATAAATAGAAATGTTAAAGAAACTACATATTATTTTTGATTTTAGTGCAATTTATTTTGAAAAGTATGAACCGGTGCCCAAAAGGAGAAGACTATGTAAACTCAGGAGTATTTTATTTTCTTGGTTTTGTGGTGGTAATACGTCAAAACATTTGTGTATATTTTTATCCTTAAGCTCACAAAGAGCACTAGATACAAAAATGGTAAAACCAGTCTGGGAAAGACAAAAACAAAAAAAGGAAATGGAGAGCTGACTCCTCTCCAACTTCTGCTCCATTAGTCATAATTTTTCATATAGTATTATCCATTAGGATACTTTTAATTTGAACTAATGCTTCCTGAGTCCGCTCTTACCATGATATTTTTCATTAATCATGCACTCATCAAAACACTTATATCTTTCCCATATTTTAAAATTAAATTAGTGATAGTGGAAATAGCTCTCCTTGAGAGGAGCATGTATGTGAGCTCAAATCCTGTTCAGCCCTCTCTTCCATCTCTCTGTAAATAAACATGTCCATACACTCATATTCTTGCTTTCTAATTTTGAACTTGTACAATGATAGCAATACTTGCTAGTGATCAGTTTCCCTTTCCTTCTGAGGTTAAAGCAGATATTACTGATGCATGGGGAGTCTTTCTCATTGAATAGAGATACAACCAAAGACTGTTTTTAATTATTCATCTGCAGCCCGAATAAATTGATAGGTGTTTGCAAGAAAGTTGAGATCTATTTTTCTTCCCTGAGCTAGTTACTCATCAGGGAATTTTGGGCTGAATGTTCAGATGTAAACTGGAATTAAAATGCTTATTTTTAAAGAATCTTTTATATTTTATAAGATGATGTATGAAAAATGTCTGATATTTTAAAGGTACTTATTAAAGGTAGAATGATTGTGCTCCAAGAGTTCGAAAATTGGTGAAGAAGAAACAGATATATAAACATATTTAAAACCTTTGTTGATATGCTCATTGTTTTTAGATGAATTTTAGAAAAATTATATTCCTTTACAGCAAATCTATTAAGGTTGGTCCCATCTAGGATTAAGTGTCATCAGTCTAGTCGTATCAAAGCTGGAATAAAACCATGTAGACATTAAAAGAAACACTCAGGAATTGCCTATTTTTGCAGTTTTTTCATGCAATCCAGGAGTGGTCCTGGGAACTTTAAATCTGGATCCTGTAGTTGTTTTCCAAAGGTCAGATGGGTTCACAAACATTTTGTTTCTCCAACTTTCCAGTTGTTATCTGTTATATCTGTCTGTCTCTGTTTCTCTCTCATATGCACTTATTCATATGCATAGATCTTTCAAAATAGTGTCAAGCCTAAATAAGAAAAACAAACACATTTTTAACTGCCTTATAACTCACAAGTTCACCTGAGTGCAATAGAGTTAGCATAGTCTCATTGTTATGCAGTGCCATGATAATTCTTCTCCTTCGGCTCCCCAACCTCCTTTTAAAACATGCTATTTCAGGTCTACCTGGAATAATAAATGGCTAATGCTAAACCATATATCTTTTACAACCTGCTACCTTAGCTACACTAAGAGCAGGTGGAAGCCTTGAAATTACTTCTTATAAGTACTTGATTACATTTTCAGCCAAGGGTCATTCTTCTCCCCAGGCTCTCTATGGGAAAGAGACATTCATTTTCTTCTTCCAGTTATAAGAGCTTTTCAAGAAGGAACAAGTGATCTGTGATTTTGATTACTGTAGAGAAAACTAGTCAAATAAGAACTTAGAAGAGACCATTGAATTTGTTAATTAGTAGGTCGTTGGTGAATTGAGCTCTCAAAGGCTGTAGTTTCAGCAAATTTGTAGGAGGAAAAATAACAAAGAGTAAGTTGAGACTGGAAGAAAAAGCACTGTAGGTAATAGTACTATTTTGATAATTTTGCCAGTGAACAAATAGAAAGATTAAGAATGGAGATTGGGGAAACACTGGTTTAAAGGACTATATTTCAAGTTATCAAAATGAGAATGTTTACTATCCCTGACTAATGAGCCATTGCTAGAGAAAACAAAAACAAAAAATACCCAAGAACCTGAATTTGTAGAAAATTATTTACAAGAGGCAATTTGTGTAGAAGCCAACTTCTTGTCTGGGATGGTTAGATCACTAATTTTTTTTTCTTTTATTGTTGGAGATTGCGTACAAAATATTTTGTATGTTGGTCTGATTTGTGGGATGGTCTTGGTCATGTGTCCAAACCATCATTGAACTACTACAGCTTGTTGGAATGTTCATCATACCTTTATCACTTCACTCTTAGGCTTGGAGGAAGGACTTCTTAAGCGTCTGTGACTGTATGGGGGCAGCCATGGCTTTAGAGGTGATGAGAACATGACAACTTCCATAGTTCTGGCAATGTTCTAAAGGCTAATACCTGAGTTTGTTAAAAGAACACCATGCGTTTCATAGAATGGAGACCTCATGGTTCACCACATCTCCACACTAACTGCATTCCACACACTAAGGATTCCCCAGGGAAAAGGCATAAAATAAAACTGGCAACTCAAGGGAACTTTCTTTCCTTATATCAAAGATGGTAGCAATGAATCAGGCAGCAAGCCTCCTCTCTCATCTCTTTTAGGTTTTCTTCTAGACTTAACTCTACAAAGCTTCATTCATGAATGAGGCCAACTGAACCAATCGCTCTTGCTTCTAAGCATTGCATAGTGATAGTGAGGGCTGGTATGAGGCAACACACTGATCATCAGTGAATGTGGGCTTCAGGATCAGCTCACCTCGGTTAGAATCTTGCTTTGTTTCTTACTGGGAGGGCACTGTCAAATCATATAACCTACAGAATGCTGAGTCTTCTCATCTGTAACATGGAGGGAATGGTAATATCTTTACCCTAGAGTTCTTGTGAAAAGTAAATGAGATAATTTCAGTGACTTAGCATAGTCAATGGCACAGAGTAAACAATCAATTAAAAACTGTTAATATTATTTGTCCTCTTATTTTGTTTTTTTTCTTCCTTTTCTCTTTATTAAAAATAAATTCATATACATTTTCCCAATGTTCAGCAAAGCATAGCTTCTGTTTGATCACTGACTAATGATGAGTTCCTGGCTCAGATCATATGAAAATCAAGCCCTGAAATCTTTGGGGAAATCTACAGAAAAGCAAGCCTGGCCAAGATTATTAATAACCAGATGAACGATAGAAAAACATACTTTATGTGTCTGTTTGTACTTTTGTTAGTTACGTTTCTAGAAATGGAAATTGCAAGAGTAACAATAAGAAAATATCAGCAGTATTATATGCTAACAGATGAGGTGCTTTTGTCTATATTTGTTTTCAAAACAAGACTATATGGGAAGAAAATCATTTCCTAGCATAGTCTATAAAATATTGTTGCCTGGAATTTCTTCCTAAGGAAAAGGTTACATCATCAAATATAACTGAATAAAAGTTTTGCTCTTTGTTCCTGTAGAAATTTAGAAAGCACATTATATTAAATACTCTTAAAAATGTTTAAAATAGGAATTGCTTAATTTTATCTAAAATTTACCCTAAAATGCTGAAATCTCACAGTACTAATGTTTTGTACAACTCACTCAGTAAAATGTTGGAGTAGTTTGAATTCATATTTCTTATTCCATCTCTGACTAAACACTGATAAATTTCTATTATAAATATAGAATATCTATGCTCCTGCTGAAAATTTGCATGACTGGAGTCGAAACTGACTGCAATAGTAAAGATAGTAGCGAAAAAGACACAAAGAATGAGATGTGACAAACTGCTTTGTACAGGTCAGTGGTTGGAACTATGGGGAAAGAGAACTTGTTGGAAAACTCTTACTTTTTTTAAAATAAAATACAAATATACTCTGCCATTCTGCCTTAGACAGTGTGTCATATTCTGCAAAATATGATTATGCTGTACAATATTTCCACAGTCTTCCTCTAAGAGAAGAGGTTTAGGAGGAGCTGAAGTCATATGCTAGCCCTTACAGCTCAGACTCCATCAGCGATGTCTCATGGACCATCATCAATGCCTCCATGCTGTGCTATTACACTGCAATTTGACACTGCATTGTTGGAAAAGAAAAACAAATTATATGACTGCTTTTTAGAAAGCTGTATTTCTAGATAAAATCTCCTTTCATGTCTTTTATTCTATAGTGACTGAAACATTTACAATATCAATTTTAAGCAAAAAGCTGTTGGTCATGGTTTAGCACCAATTACAATCATGAATGCCCTATATGTGTTTCTTTCATCATTATGGTTTTTGAGATAGAAAACGCTTTGAAACCTCCAAAAATTTAGTTGAACTTTTATTTTTCCCCTAGTATATCATATTTTAAAAGGCTGTTTTACTCTTCAGTATGTGGATATAGACTGTTCTCTTTTATAAAATAAGAGGAATTGATTTTTTCTGCTCCTGTATTATTTATTCTTTTGATTTATTTGTTGTTAGTCAAGTGAGTTTCAAAGATAAGCAGTGTAAGTTTTCTAACTTCTGAAACCTTATAGATGAGTAAAGGAAATAAACTTTTAATCAAAATAATTCCAGGAAGCCGGTGAAGTACCACAGTAAATGAATGTGCCAAGTGTCATGCATTGTGGTAGCACAAAGTTTGACATAAGCTATTCTTCGTGTGGAAAGAAGCACAGAGTGAAGCAGACTGGGTTTGACCTAAGTTCAATCTTCACAGAAAAAATTATTAAAATGGGGCTTAGCAGGTGAATAGAATCTTAAGTATTATAGGATGCAAAAGGCAGAGAATCACAGAATCACGTGAACTGTACAGAAGCTTCACAGTTTTCACAATGTAAACACTTGGAGCTATGTCAGGAAAAATCTTAAGTTTATAAAATGGAAAAATTAACTGTATCTATATGCAATTAAGATGCCAGGTGGATAGTTCCAAGCTGACACATAGGTTTAAATTCTGGGAGTTCAGATAGTTTATTCTATCGTTAACTCCTCTGGAACACATAAATATTAGCTGATCTGGAATACTGAAGAAACAACTGTTTTAATGAAAACAAGATATAATTTTGATAATGCTGTGTTTGAGGTGCTTGTGTGTATGAAGATGGACTATCTACTGAAGAAATTAGACATTTATTTAATTCTTAAGAAAGAGACATGGGCTATAGTGAAAAATTTGGAAGATATTATCTAATTTTTAATGAAAAATATTATAACTATTTTAAGGTAGGCACTTTGATAGGTTATAGGAAAATATCTTGTGAACAAGGTGACAGATTCCTTATTTCCTTGGAGTTGCCAATTTACTGAATGAAGGGAAAAAAAGGATTCCATGTGCATTGTAGATCACATTTTTCCAGATTATCCAATTTTAATCTTTTCTTCTATTTGAGCTATTTTACCACTCAGTCAACTTACAGATATCTGATGGCAACGCAAAATAATTATTGCTAATAGATATACAAAATTCTGCCCATTGGAGGTTCAATTGGCTTCCATCCACCCCCATGTAAAAATCCTTCATTGCCTCCATTTACATACTCGTTTGAATTCCTGAACTGTAAATGTGTCTGTTCTTTGAATTCTCCATCCCACTGGTTAAAACATCATCTTAATAATTAAATGAAATATTTAACATATTTTCATTTTATATCTGTATAAATCCTTCCATAGAAAATAATCCTAACATAGAGACTATAGAAATTCAGCATGCATTTACAACACAATGAACTCTTTGAAAGGAACTACAAGTCTAATTGGAAAGTGTACCACAGGTACATTAGGCCATTTCCTCCCAATGAGGCAATACAAAGACTAGGGTCAGAAGGTTTGGTAGCAATTAGCCAGCTGAATAAATGGAAGCTTGAAACAGAAGAAACAAAGTTCAAGGACCTGGAGGCAAATAAAGGAGTTGCTGAATTTAAAGATATGATTCCATTATATTTGGATAAAAGAAAGAGGGAGAGTTTAAAATACAAAAAGGCAGTCATGACTAAAATCAAAAGCTCTTCCAAGAATATCTACTTTCTCTCAAGGACAGCTAAATGATTGTATTAGTCTGTTCTCATACTGCTATAAAGAAATACCTGAGACTGGGTCATTTATAAAGAAAAGAGGCTTAATTGACTCACAGTTCCACAGAATGTACAAGAATAATGCTGGCATCTGCTCAGCTCCTGGGGAGGCCTCAGGAAACTAACAATCATGGTAGAAGGGGAAGGGGAAGCACACACATCACATGGCCAGAATAGGAGCAAGAGAGAAGACAGAAAGTGGTACACATTTTTAAACAATGAGATATCATGAGACGTAACTCATTATCATGAGAACAGCACCAAATGCATGGTGCTAAACCATTCATGAGGAACTGCTCCCATTATCCAATCATCTCCCACCAGGCCCCATCTCCAACACTGGGGATTACAATTTGACGTGAGATTTGGTAGGGACACAGATCCAAATCATATCATTTCACCCCTGCCTCTTCTCAAATCTCATGTTCTACTCACATTTCAAAACTAATCATGCTTTCCCAACAGATCCCAAAGTCTTAACTGATTCCAGCATTAACTCAAAAGCCCACAGTCCAAAGTGTCCTCTGAAACAAGGCTAGTCCTTTTCTCCCATGAGCCTGTAAAATCAAAAACAAGTTAGTTACTTCCAACATACACTTAAGGTACAAGCATTGGGTAAATATTCCCAATCCAAAAAGGAGAAATCAGCCAAAACAAAGGGGCTACTGGCCGCATGCAAGTCCAAAACCCAGTAGGGCAGTCATTAAATCTTAAAGCTCAAAAATAATCTCCTTTGATTTCATGTTTCACATCCAGGGCACACTGATGCAAGTAGTGAGCTCCCAAGACATTGGGCAGGTCCGTCACTTTGCAGGGTTTATCCCGTTACTGCTCTCATGGGCTGATGTTGAGTGTCGTTGGCTTTTCTACGCACATGGTGCAAGCTGCTAGTGGATCTCCCATTCCGGGGTCTGAAGGATGACAGTCCCCTTCTCACAGCTCCACTAGGCAGTGCCCCAGTGAGGACTCTGTGTGGGGGGCTTGAACTCCACATTTCCCCCTGCACACTGCTCTAATAGAGGTTCTCTATGAGTGCTCTGCCCCTGCAGCAGACTTCTCTCTGGACATCCAGGCTTTTCCATACATCCTTTGAAATCAAGATGGAGGCCCCCAAACCTCAGCTCCTACATTCTGCATACCTACAGGCTTACCACCATATGGAAGCCTCTAAGGCTTATAGCTTGCACCCTCTGAAGTAAAGGCCTGAGCTGTACCTGAGCCCCTTTGACCCATGGCTGGAGCTGGAGTGGCTAAAATACAGGGAGCACTGTCCCTAGGCTGCACAGGATAGCAGGGACCTAGGCCTGGCCCATGAAACCATTTTTCTCCCCTAGGCCTCCTGGACTGTGATGAAAGGGGCTGCCACAAAGGTCTTGGAAATGCCCTCAAGGCCTGTTCCCCATCAATCATCTTGGCCATTATCTCTTTGCTCTTTACTTATTCAAATTTTTGCATCTGGCTTAAATTCCTCCCCTTAAAATGGGATTTTCTTTTCTACCACATGACCAGGCTGCAAATTTTTCCTAACTTTTACACTCTGTTTCTCTTAAATAGAAGTTCCAATTTCAGGTCATTTATTTGTTCATGTGTATGAGCTCAGGTTGTTAGAGGCAGCCAGGCTACCTCTTGAACGTTTTGTTGCTCAGAAATTTCTCCCACTACATACCCTAAATCACCACTCTGAAGTTCGAAGTTCCATGGATCCCTAGGGCAGGGGCACAACACAGCCAGTTTCTTTGCTCAGGCATAACAAAAATGACTTTTGCTCCAGGTCACAATTAGTTCCTCATTTCCATCTGAGACCTCTTCAGCCTAGCCTTTACTGTCCATATCACTAGCAACATTTTGTTCACAACCAGTTAGCCAGTCTCCAGGAAGTTCCAAACTTTCTCTCATTTTTCTCTCTTCTTCTGAGCCCTCCAAACCCTTCCAGCCTCTGCCTATTACCCAGTTCCAAAGTCACTTACATGTTTCAGGTATTTTTATAGCAATGCCGCATTCCTTAATACAAATTTTCTGCATTAGTCTGTCCTTGTACTGCTGTAAAGAAATACCTGAGCCTAGGTATTTTGTAAAGAAAATATGTTGGCTGGGCACGGTGGCTCATGCCTGTAATCCCAGCACTTCGCAAAGCTGAGGGGTATGGATTACGAACTCAAGAGATCAAGACCATCCTGGCCCACATGGTGAAACCCCGTCTCTACTAAAAACACAAAAATTAGCTGGGCGTAGTGATGCACGCTTATAGTCCCAGCTACTCGAGAGGCTGAGGCAGGAGAATCGCTTGAACCCAGGAGGCAGAGGTTGCAGTGAGCCAAGATCGTGCCACTGCACTCCAACCTGGGCAAGACGGAGTGAGACTCCGTCTCAAAAAAAAAAAAAAGAAAGAAAGAAAAAAGAAAATATGTTTAATTGGCCCACAGTTCTGCAGGCTGTACAGGAAGCATGATGCTGACATCAGCTCAGCTCCTGGAGAGGCCTCAGGAAACTTACAGCTATGGGGGATGGTGAAGGGGAAAAACACACACACACACATATATATATATACACACACATATATATATACACACACATATATATATATACACAACCATATTTCTATAGGCAAAAGAGCTCATACACACACACATTTCTAGATGGTGACAGAAAAATATGTTTAAAGGTGGCAAAGTGGAACTTGACAACTGATTAGGAATAAGTAGAGAAGAAGTGTTTTTTTTTTTTTTTTTTGAGACGGAGTCTCGCTCTGTCGCCCAGGCTGGAGTGCAGTGGCGGGATCTCGGCTCACTGCAAGCTCCGCCTCCCGGGTTCACGCCATTCTCCTGCCTCAGCCTCCCAAGTAGCTGGGACTACAGGTGCCCGCCACTACGCCCGGCTAATTTTTTGTATTTTTAGTAGAGACGGGGTTTCACCGTTTTAGCAGGGATGGTCTCGATCTCCTGACCTCGTGATCCGCCCGCCTCGGCCTCCCAAAGTGCTGGGATTACAGGCGTGAGCCACCGCGCCCGGCCAGAAGTGTTTTTTAACATATTTATAATAATAGCATCTTGAACACAGAGCTCAATTCATATATGTTAAATGAGTGAGTGTGGGATGAAGGATGCAAAATGATGGCTAGAATTCTGGATTAGTCAACTGGATGACAGGCAGTGCTATTTATTAAGATAGAGTTTGTCAAATGAGAAAGAGCCTTAAATATGTTTGAATGTTGATAATCACCAATAAAAAGAAAAGGTAAATAATAAAGAAAAATTATAAATAATATTCAGTAGGCAATCTAATATCAATTTATTTTCCCCTCTGAGTGAACATTTACTTGTTGCTATTGTATGTATAAAGAACTATAATGACAGGATTATTAGAAGGAATTCCAATTACCAAAGTAAGTTGCCTCTGGATTATTTTCAAGTTTTTTTTTCTCTTGACATTCCAATATTTATAAGGAGTTTTTATCTAAGCACTAATTTTATGTATCATTGGGATAACATCATGGCTTTGGAATTATTCTCTTTTAATTTCTATCCTTTTATCATGTGCTACTTTCATCAAATACCAATTACCCAGATAATTCCTATGTATCCATTTTCACTAATAGCTACATAATTCTTGTCCTGATACCATGGTCCCCGCAAACGTAATTCAAAATCCTTTACAGTTCATGAATTAATATTTCAACAAATATGGGCTTGTTTTGTTGTTTAAGAAACAACAAAAAGTCAACTCACCCTTGTTTTCATTGAGATAAATTTATTACTTATATGTTGCTTTCTTCCCAAAAGATTTAGGTGATGTTAAAATTATATGCAAACAAGACAACTGCTAATTTATAATGCTTATAAATAATGCCATGAAAATAATGGGGAACCATGCAGACCACCATATATGCCTATACAGTTTCTGTAATTGAATGTTCAATTGAGCTCTCAGCTTAGGTAGAGACAAACTATAACAGTGGTTTCATATACTTTTCATTGTCGAATAAAATAAAAAAATCAATTCCTCAGGATCATTAGCATTATTTCTTAGAAGTGAATTTTAAAATGAATTTGTCATTTGGAACCCTATTCAATGTATGCTGAATGTAACAGATAATGCAATTAAAACTACTTTTGCAGTAGAATAAATAATTCTTTTCAAATTCAAATAAAATTTTCAAATAAAATGGTGAATGTTGAATTTAACCTGGGCCCTGTGCTCATGGAAAATGCTTATGGTTAAGACATTTCCCTATTCCTAGCACCACTTTTTTTTTTTTTAATTCCAGAAAAAAGCCAACTGCAAAAGAACCACCCTTCTCTGTATGATTCATTTTCTCTTCTTTTCACCACTCCAGGAAGACTCGCAGATGGTTTCATTTGTTCACCTGCCTCTATAAAACCCAAGATATCCTTCTTTTTCTTTGAAATCTTTCTCATTGTGATCATCCTTCCTATGCAATAGCCTCAATAAAGTCATCTTAATCATGCAGTGCATGCTGTCCTTCAAGTTGCTTTGAGGCTGTGTGGGAATTGGGAGTATAACATTCGAGCATTATTGTTTTCAGGGTCTCAACTTCAGTCACTTTTCTAACTTCTTTTTCTTATTTAAATCTAGTTTAGACAATATGTGAGATAACTAATTCCTAATAATTTTGAAAAGTTTACTTTTTATACATTTATTTTGTGAGTCTCCAGGCTTCAAGTATTGCCAAAGCTTAATGTTTTTTATCTATAGATATTTATTGTTCTAAATTAGAGAGAATAACAAGCAGTTTTATAAAGATGAAGGAATAATCAGGTAAAATTGAAGATAGAAAAGAAGAAAAAGAATAAAAGACTAGCTTCAAGGTTTTTGTTCTCTTCAGATATTTAGTGTTGATAGCTAATTTTTTTCAGAATTTCTCATCTATGTGCTAACATTTTCTAGTAGCTATTTCCACAGAAATGAGTTCATTATGACACTTCTATTTGCATATTCTGGTTTAACTGCTTGCACTGTCGGTCCTTTTCTGGTGATAACGGAATATAAAACAAGAAATTCTGCTCTTAAACATTTATAAATTTGAGTGTTGGCACATCCTGTTCTTAAGTACAACTTTCAACTACCCTCTTTACTTCATTGTCCAATTTACATATTTTAAACACTGTTCTTCCCTCCAGAAAATATCAAAGATTTTCTTCACTTTGTTTCTTTCCAATCTGAAACTAAAATGAGCTATAGACAATACTCTTTTCATGTGAGAGACACTCTTGGCTTTTCCATCTTATCTGGCCTTCTACTCAAGTGTCTTAAGCAAGACCTCTCCAGAGTTCATACTAAGCAGTCCCCACACTTTCTGCCCATCCAACCTCCAGTCTGAATCCCAAATATTTGATAATCACTCACAAGTTTGTTCATGGCAACCATGTAAGAGAAGTGAATACAATTACACCATTGTACAATATGAAGGATTTTATATACTTACCATTATAGAAATTAATTCGTGATCAATAATTAAAACTTCAGTTAGAATAAGAATAAATATTTTAAGCTTCTTAGAATTACTATTATTATGATAAACTCTTATTCTCATATTTTATTGTATGAAAGCAGACTTATTTCATATAAGACTTGGTGAATTTTATTTGCTGGGATCAAAGGAGACATCACTTCTGTTTGCTCTTAACACAGAGTCATTCCTTTGCTGTCACAGTGACTGTAGGTACTGTAAGTGACCCACAAACAGCTTTGAAAGAAAAATAAAATGTATAAATCACACATTATATTATCTTTAAAGGTTTGTTACCTTTCATATGACAACTAGGTCTCAAGAGCAGCATTCCCACATTGTTTAGTCATATTATAAATGACAATGCAGAAAAAAAAAGGATGTGTTGAAAAGGGGATACAAATTTTAGCAAAAGATTAAAAATCCAAGCATGTACAACATTTCATGTAACTATCCTGATGAAAACTGGCATATATTTCATATAAATATTTCATTAAAATGCTAAAAAAAAAAACAAAAATATTTTCTCCATCCCAGCTGAAGTTATTTTTATTACCTACTTCATCATACGCAGATACTCATTTTAGGTCTAATGTTTACTCATCAAGTTGCTAGTCAAGTAGGAATATTCTTGAGTAAAATACATCATTATAACCTTACAACTATTTAGTTAAGTTTGAGTTTATCATAGCCTTGATGTTCATAGTAATTTCAGAGGGAAGTATTTGAAACATCAGATAGTTGCCAGTTTTAAGTACTACTTTTAGAAAACAATGTTTTATTACAGTCAAATTAGATGCTTATGCTGATAACTTACTGTTAAGGTGTTCATAGTTAATCTCACTAGAAAGTATTATATAGGAGGCCAAACATTTGAAGGAAAAGAACTATATGTAGTTAGTACAATGACCTGAACGAAAGAGGGAAAGACTATTGTGAATATAAGCTATCATTAAAGAACAACATCTATTGATGGACTTATTGGTAATTTTAAAACTTAAGAGTAAAAAAGACCCCCATAAAACTATTGAAAAACAACTATTGAAAACTATTAAAAAAAAAAACTATTGAAAAACTATTGAAAAGATAAGTAGTCCCTTTATTTTACTTAGACAAACTGAAATTAGAAATACTTATCCCCATATATACTTTGATTTAGATTTTCCAGAAAGAGTGATTGAGCTAATTTTTTTTTTGACAGAAAATGGGTAAAAGTGAATAAGTCTTTAAGAAGTCTTGGAAAGCACTCATCATCTCTCTGTTGAGTCTGCTCAGATGTCTCACAATGGCAAATGCACATTCCCTTTAACCAGTATTCTCATTTTTTTACAGAAATAAAGTAGGCAGTTAATTACTAAGCTTCTTACAATATTGTTTGTGTAAATAAAAACAAAAAATACTGTGAGTACTCATCAGTAGGCATACAGTTAGATAAATTATAGTATATGTATTTGTAAAGTACTTTGACGCATTTTAAAAGAATGAAGTAGACCTACATGTAAGAAAATGGAAGAGTATTTTATTATATTTATATATACTTATTTATTATAACTGAAAAATCAAATAACATGAATCCTGTATTCACTATTTATAAGAAAAATCAATTTGTAGGGGTGTGTGTATTGATAAAGAGAGAAAGAGAGAGTAGATAAAAATCTCTACTTTGAAATCAAGTGTTAAAAAATGTGATTTTAACATATATTCTGTAATTAAATTGAATATTTATATTGTTAATTGATGGGAATTTAATTTCAGTGAAACTGGGAGTTTATCAGTCAATTTGTCCTAACCCATCTCTCCCTCAGTGTTCTGTCTAAATCTGGGACTAAGGCACTGATGAAGAGTGTAACTCTTGTTCTTCAGCATCTGTCTATGTTGGAATATGCAAGGATTTATTCATCATTATATGATCTATTGTCACTTCAGACAGTTGGAATGTATGGTTCCCTTGGCTGTGAGCGCAAAGCTCTTTATAAGTAAACAACCTTTCAGTACAGAGTTAGAAGGATGCACATGAAGCAAAGTTACCCATGTGGCACATGGCCAGGTGTCACTCCCTTCCCAGCATTCAAGAACAAAATGAGAGTAAAGATATAAAATCACTCTTTGATACTGAAATGCGATAAGTTCCCTTATCCCCCTCACAGGGCACACGATGGGAATGGGTCCCTTTTTCAGCACCCCACTGCTCAAACCTCTAGGAGAGCATACACACAGGCAGGTTGTGGAGCGCTGACCCCATGGCAGTGTCCTGGGGTGAATGTTTACAGCTCCTGAGGCCCCCGTGGGCGTGTGTTACAGTGTGCTCTTTCAGTTTTGGCATCCGAAGGTGGCTTGTGTTAATCAGCTCAGTTAGATCCTCTGCCTTATTGCAAGGACAGAGGGCTTTCTGTATCCCAGGTTCTTGCCTTAGCATACCGGAAAAATCAGATCACATGTGGGCTTGGAGAATGAGTACAAGGTTTATTATTGAGTGATGGTGGCTCTCAGCAAGGTGGATGGGGAGGCCAGAAGGGGGATGGAGCGGGAAGGTGGTTTTCCCCTGGATTTGGGGTGCTCAGCAGCTAGACTCTCCTCAGACCACCTGGCCAGATTCCCATTCCCGTCATTCCACTGCAAATGGTCTACCAGCATCTGCTGGTGCCTGTCGGTGTGCTAATGGGGTTTTTATAGGCAAAGGATGGGGATGTGGCAAGCCAGGGTGTTCTTGGGAAATGCAACATTTGGACATAAAAACAAAGATGCCTGTTCTCACCCAGGTTCATGGGGACAGGCCTGGGGGTGGAGCCCTCGCCAGGGACCCGCCCTTCTCTACCCAGCACTTCCCTGCCTCCCTCCTGCATCAATACCACAAGTTAACAACAGCCAAGATTAGTTCAAGCTAAGGTGGGTTCAGGGTAGAAATACAGGAAAATTCCAACAAATCTTGCTATGAAAAACTCTAATAAATACACCCTTTAACATAAGACACAATTATTGTCATTTAGAGTTACAAATACCTAATATTTTCATTACTGTTATTTAACATCTGAAATGATATAAGGAAAAATTGGTTACTAGCCTGTGATTGAAAATTTCTTACAGAATATTGTCATGATGATTTTGCTATTGAAAATAAGACACTAGAATTATACTCAGTGTTTATATTTTGAAGTTTGGGTTTAAAATTCTAATTTGAATTTTTAAACAAGAAAACAGCATGACAATGAATAATAATTTAGTTCTTGAGTATCACTGAGACTTCACTTCTTACCTAAGAAAAAATAGCTCAAGGCAATAATGCTTAAACTCCAGTATCTCTAAGCCATTTTTGAAATTATAATATTGAAAATGAGCACCTATATGCCCTTTCTCCAGGAGAAACGGACCAATGAGAACTATGCCCTGTTTTGATCATCAAATACTGTGAGCCATGGGGGAGAGAATGAGAAAAGGGGGAATTTTAAAGCATGAGGCACCATTTCTCCTTCTAGTGGCAAGTACTTGTTCCAAAGAAACTCTGATACCTACCTTATCTTATGTGACATTGTCTATAAGATGCTAAAATGTGTGGCTCACAAGAGCTACACTAATTTCCTAGTCTTTATTTAACATTCCATCTATTCCATTAAACTTTGCTTGGACAATTGGAAGTGAACTGTCAGGTAGGAAAGAAGAAAGTTTGGCCCAAGTCTTCATTTCATTCTATGTCCGCTCACGATATTTCTCACATCCATATTAGACCAGAGTCCTTTATAAATGTCCACTATTAAAAATTTTCTATTTGAGCCAGATGCAGCACTTTGGTAGACGAGGATGGGTGGATTGCTTGAGTCCAGGAGTTCAAGACCAGCCTGGGCAAAATAGTGAAACCCTGTCTCTATAAAAAACAAACAGGAATTTCCAGGCATCATGGTGTGTGCCTATACTTCCAGCTACTCAGGAGGCCGAGGAGAGAGGATCTCTTGGGCCCAGGAGGTCAAGGCTGCACTGAGCAATATTTGTGCCACTGTAGTCCAGCCTGAGCAACAGAGAGACCTTGTCTCAAAAACTAAAAATGGGGCCAGGCGCGGTGGCTCACACCTGTAATCCCAGCACTTTGGGAGGCCATGGTGGGCGGATCCGAAGGTTAGGAGATTGAGACCATCCTGGCTAACACGGTGAAACCCCATCTCTACTAAAAATACAAAAAAATTAGCTGGGTGTGGTGGCACACACCTATAGTCCCAACTACTAGGGAGGCTGAAGCAGGAGATTCGCTTGACCCCAGGAGGCAGAGATTGCAGCAAGCTGAGATCACACCACTGCACTCCAGACTGGGCAAAAGAGCGAGACTCCATCTCAAAAATAAAATAAAATAAAATAAAAAAAGAAAAGTTCTACTTGATTGAATCGTGTACATGAATTGGGGAGGTTTAAACTAGAGTACCAATTGGATCTTTGAGGAAGCAGATGTGTGGGGGCGGGGGAGGGCAGATGATACTGTAAAAGATAAAAGTGGAAAAAATTACAGGAAGCATGATTGGGCAGGAAGCATGATGGGGCAGGGTGAACCTTAAATAATGATGCAAATTAGATGAAACATTGGTCAATCCAGTGTGGAGCTCTGGAGCAAAGAATGCATTTAGTGGAGTCCAAACTTGGGCAGAAGTGGTCAGGCTTTATCTGGCAGCCTGGCTTTCCTTAGTTATTGTCTGGGGACTGCTAGGGAAATGTGTGGCTTGGGCTTAAAACCAATGGCTGTTCAAAAAACCATTGTAGCAGAAAGCTGCTCCGTTTGCTGTAGTCCTTAGAGCTAAATGGAAAATTCTTTTTGAAGGAAGATCCAAGTCAGGCAGATATAAGGCCACCATCTTTACCTTATCTTTAATTCCTCAAGATAACATAGGTTTCATCCAGGCCAATCACCAAGCTCGCTGAGTAGAAATGTGTTTCTGAAGGGGAAAATTACAATTCTTTTCAATCAAATTAGCTTTTAGGACAATTCACTGATGTGGGAAAATTTTCCAAAGCTTTATAAATTATCTTATGTGCAGATATACTATGCCATATCATTATTCCCACAAGATACAGTAAGTTGTAGCTGAATAAAAAACATCTTTCCTCCACATTTTTACCAGTATTACAGATGTTTTTCTGAGTAGAAAAAAAAAAAATGTCTTGGAAATGTTGAGTCTGGACTCTCCACTTGTCTCCGCCTAGCTGAGAAATGTGTTCTCACATTGCACACTTAAGGGAGCATGATTCAAATACACACCACAGTAAAATGAAAATATTTAGTTTTGCTTGTTAGTTAAAATGGCAGCTGTTAACTGCCGTGAATGACAAGGGTATTCTATAACTCCAAAACAGTTTTTAACACAAAGATATGACTGTTCCTATTTTTAATAGTGGGCATTTCATGAATTTCAGAAAAAACCTTTGCAAAATTATTTACACTAATCAGCAAAAGAGAATGCTGTGTTAATAATTGGAGATTTGAAAAGTGATTATAGAATAAATTTCTGTGTGCAGGTATAGGGAATGTAAGTCATTATTCCAAATCCTAGTAAAATAAGGGTATTAAAAAGCTTTATCAGGCCAGGCGTGGTGGCTTATGCCTGCAATCCCAACACTTTGGGAGGCCAAGGAGGGCGGATCACAAGGTTAAGAGATGGAGACCATCCTGGCCAACATGGTGAAACACCGTCTCTACTAAAAATACAAAGATTAGCTGGGCGTGGTGGTGCGTGCCTGTAATCTCAGCTACTCAGGAGGCTGAGGCAGGAGAATCGCTTGAACCTGGGAGGTGGAGGTTGCAGTGAACTGAGGTGGAGCCACTGCACTCCAGCCTGGGTGACAGAGTGAGACTTCTTCCCCCACAAAAAAAATAAAAAAAAAAAGCTTTATCACTTATCACTCTATTGTCTCTATTTATAATCTTTTGGAACATTTTTCCTGTTAGTCTTTCATTAACTACTTATTCCTTTTACTAAAATCAGGGCAAATTTCTGCTTCTAGCTATGATACGCTAGATTGAAATAAGACTAAATAATACCAGCAAAGACTATCTAGAAAAGCTAGAAAACATGATTAAACAATTCTAATATTGCAAAAAATTGAGTTGAAACCATAAGAAATCTACCCTCAAACAAGATTTTAGGACTCAAGTTTTCAGAAGAGAGCTCCTAAGAGAAAGTGACAAAAATTCCTTCAAAGTATTTGCCACATTTAAGTGGAAGTTAGAAAGTCCAGCAGAAAGTGGCCAGTAATGGGCTGCGAAGCTAATCATGGGTTTTGACGATGTCATTGGGCTATGGAGACAAAAGTTACAGAATACTCTGGTTGAAATACATAATAGAAAAACTAAATAGTTTTATATGTATCGAAGATATAGAAAGCGTAATTTAAATATTTTAAGTTTTCAAGTCCCAGATGATGATTTCTGTCCAATATATGTAAATTCGTGTGCTGCATAATGACATTGCAGCCAATGATAGACCATGTATGTGAGGGTGGCCTTATAAGATTATATCATATTTTTGCTGTACCTTTTCTATGTTTAGATATGTTTAGATATACAAATACTAATCATTGTGTTACAATTGCATGCAGTATTCAGTACAGTCATATGCTGTACAGATTTACAGCTTAGAAGCAATAGGCTCTACCATATAGCTTAGGTGTGTAGTAGGCAATACCATCTATGTTTTTGTAAGTACACTCTGATGACCACACAACAATGAAATCACCTAGTGGTTCATTTCTCAGAACCTATCCCAGTCATTTAACCACACATGACTATATATAGAAGAAACAATGGGAATAGCAAAGGCTTTTTATTCTGAACTTGTTATGGTAGGAAACTTAGTCACCCTCAGTTGAATTTTGGCAGAGACTCAAATGTAGGCAGAAGAATAGGAAAGGTTCACAGTGGAAAAATGGGAAGGTTTCAGTTAGCTCTGATTGGAGGCCATTGACGGGGAAGATGTTCTTGGGTTAATCAGAAGAGGGACATCCTATATGATTGATTGGGGGTGCATATTAAGCTTTTTATGGCTGATCCTATGTATTAGTCCATTTTCATAATGCTATGAAGAAATACCTGAGACTGGGTAATTTATAAAGAAAAAGAGGTTTAATGGACTCAGAGTTCCACATGGCTGGGGAGGCCTCACTATCATGGCAGAAGACAAAGGAGGAGCAAAGGCACATCTTACATGGCAGCAGGCAAAGAATATGTGTGGGGGAACTGCCCTTTATAAAACCATCAGATCTTGCAATACCTATTCACTATCACAAGGACAGCATAGGAAAAACCCATTGCCATGATTAAATTACCTATTATGGCGTCCCTCCCATGACATGTGGGGACTGTGGGAACTATAATACAGGAAGAAATTTGGGTGGGGACACAGGCAAACCACATCATCCTAAGTTAGAAGAGGAGACAAAAATTAGGAAAGCTGTCAGTTGTTAATCAAGTCCTGGCCATTTAGATCCAATTGTTATAGAAGTTACTGTTCAGCTTTCTGAGTTGTCACTAGAGATAGAAATCTGGCTTTCTGCAAGTCTAAATTACAACAAGCTAACTTCCTGATTATTGATTGTAAAAAGGGATTTGGTCTTCTGGGTTGCTGCAGGTAGTAGGTCAAAGTTCTGTTTTTATATGTAGCCTGTCCATTGTCCACCTGTCTCATAATCACAGAAAAGAAAAAAAAAAAAAACACTGGCCAGGCACAGTGGCTCACACCTGTAATTCCAGCACTTTGGGAAGTTGAGGCAAGCAGATCACATGAGGTTAGGAGTTCAAGGCCAGCCTGGCCAACATGGTGAAACCCCATCTCTACTAAAAATACAAAAATTAACTGGGTATGGTGGTGCACACCTGTAATCCCAGCTACTCAGGAGGCTGAGGCAGGAGAATCGTTTGAACCCAGGAGGCGGAGATTGCAGTGAGCCGAGATCATGCCACCACACTCCAGCCTGGGTGATAGAGCGAGACTCTGTCTCAAAAACAAAACAAAACAAAACACAAACCAATATCCTAGCAAAGTAAATACAGCTACGTAAAGAAAGAATAATATAAGCACCGTGATCAAATGAAGTTTATTTTAATATTGTAAGAGTCAAAATCATTTAATTTACCACATTTTTTACCAAAACACCAGGAGTTTGCTCTAGGTTCTGCTGCTTGCCACACAGAAAGCCAACGACTGAGATGAAAAGTAATGCTAAGGAAGTGCCAAGGAAGCCTTTAATCCTGTGCTGCACTCAAGGAGATGGGAGATCAGTCTCAACTCCATCTCCCTGGCCAACTAAAACTAGGGGTTTACATGACAGAGAAGAAATGTAACAATGTGTAAGAAAACAGGAACTATGGTGGGGCCAGGAAGCAATCATGATGAATGAAGGATTTTGCATCTCATTGCCTTGGTGCAGTGATCTGGTGAGTTTCAGTTCTTTGATACTTTCTGAGAGGCCTGGGTGACCTTTCCTGAGGAAGAAATTGAGATTAGAAAAATGTAAGTTCCAAGCTTCAAGACTAGAAGGGCCAAATTTCATGTTTATCCCCAAAAACCTGTCTATGGGACTACTGGGTCAATTTCACATTCACAGAAAAATGAAAAAAAAAAAAGTTCTCAATGAATAAAGAAAAAGAATTTGAAAAAGTATAATGCTCTTTAATGATAAAACTTATCAGACAACTAATCAAAACTAGGTTAGTACTTGATTGAATACATGGGAGAAGGTGTAGATATATCAGAGGCCAGAAATCATGGGCCATTTAAGAATCCTGCTTACCACACACACCTAACAAATGTCAGCATTCAATGTGTTCAATGGTGAAATATTAAAAGCTTTTCTCTAAGATAGAAGGAAACATGTATCTCCCTTCTCACAAACTCTATTGAAAATGCCACTCTAACTCCTATCCAATTCAACAATGCAAGAATAAGAAATGAAAAACATAAGGATACAAAAGAAGAAGTTAAATTCTCATTTTTTGTAGACTCATGATTTTGTATAAAAAATTTTAATTAATCTTTCAAAAGAACAATTAGAATCAGTAATTGAACTTTTGAAGTGGGCTGAATAAAGGATCAATATATGAAATTCAAATGTAATTTAATATTCCAATAATGTATAATTAAAATGAAAATAATAAATGAAACCATTTGCAATTAGCATCACAAACTTCAATACGTAGGAACAAACCTAATAAATATTGTACAAACATTCCACTCAGTTAACAATGAAATATTATTGACAACAATAAATGAAATCTAAATGCTATCACTATCCATGTTCATAGACTGCAATCCTCAATGTTCTGAATGTCAATTCTCTGAAAAATGCTCTGTATATTTAATGCATTCTCAAACAAAATCTCAGGTTTTTATATATTTTTTTTTTTACTTTTTAGAACATTACATGCTGATTTTAGAATATATATGGAAGTCATAAGAGCCAAAGAAAACCAAGAGTCTGAGGCATCAGTAATTAATGCAATGTGATATTGGCATTAAAGAAAAAAGATATGCAAATGCCCTTGAGACATACGAGAAAGGTGCTTAACCTCATTAACCATTGAGAAAATTCAGTTTAAATCCCAATGGCAAATCACACCAACAGAAATGACCAAAATTAGGAGACTAACAAATGATAAATTTTGGGAGGTAGTGTTTCTATTTGTGCTGACACTGGAGGAATTTTATACTAATATAATCATTTTAGAAAATTATTTAGTAGAATATTATGAATTAGATTATTTGTATCTTCTAGGACCAGCAGTTCTTCTTCCTATCATATATCAATCACACACAAGTAAAAGTGTGTACTAAATGACATGTAGATGTATGTTTATAGAAGTATTATTTATAATAATCTCAAACTGGAGATGTGGCAACTGCCCTACAATAGTAGAATGCATATAGTTTTGCAATGATACAACACAATATTATATAATAATAGAATTACTAAGAAAACAAGCTTCATGAAGTAAAGTGATTGAATCTGTCTCCCTTTCTCTCTCACACACATTTGCGCGCGTGCACACACACACACACACACACACACACTTACCTGAAAGAAGCTAGACAAAAAAAGTCAATATTGTAAAAGGAAAACCCAACCTATGGTGCTAGAAGTTAGGCTAATGTATACTTTGAGAGATAAATGGGGCTAGAACTGAGATAGTTCTTGAGTGCTGCCACAGAGGAACTGGGATATTACATTATTCCTTGATCTCTCTGTTAATTGCCTGGACATATTTACTTTGGAAAACTGAACTTCATGCCTAAGATTTCTATACTTTTTAAATATATTTTATACTCAAAATCCTAAAATCTCAAGCTATCATGGGCTTGACATAATTAAAACACTTTTTCATACTTTTGCAGATAAAGAAAATTTCAAGCTTACTATATTTACATTATCCTGCTAGCTCACATTATTAAACCAAAAAACATATAGGCATCTGTCATTTAATACCTTTCATATTTGTAGGACACCCAACCATACATCTTCTTTGGTACCCCATGTAGGAGAAACTGTATTCCAGCTGTTTCTTTGCCTGTCTGAAATTTATTCCTGAATAAGATCCAGCTGGCTTCAATACAAATCTATTTTTACTGAGGTGATGCTTAGAAGCACTCATCAAGGTCTTAAAATAGAGGCTAGTGGTGAGACTCAACAAACTACAAGCTAGTTTTTCATATCATTCACACACAAATGGTGTACAATCTGGTCATCCATAACATCAAATTGATGCCAAGGTTTAAAGTGCTATATCCCAGATGCTTCCAACTACATCAGCATTTTGATCAAAGTCAAAGGTCCTATACCCGTAATACATTTTTTTTGACATGTTTAAACAGGACTCTGTTATGGTCATAAATTAAGAGCAGCAAAAAATATTCCCAGAAATGGTGGTGGTATTACCTGGAAGTAAGGGTGTCATTATCAAAGCTTCAGAGCAATTTTCCAGTCAATGTATTCACAGATAACCTAACTTTTATCCCCCTACACATACATCAGCCCAGCATTTCTATCTCCATTGATTTTACTTGCAAATCTCTCTTCTGCAAATTTGCAATTATTTCACTGGTTTCAGGTTGGCAGATTTTGTCTTATGCCTAGTATCAGTTTTACCTGCATATCTGTAAACACTAAAGCCACAGAGGTAGTAAGAGTTGAGGGGGTCATATTTGACTAAATAGTCTGACTTTATGCCTTCCATGTCTAACCAGTATATTATATTCCATGGCAGAGAAGAAATATTAAATAGATTATTAAATAATTACAGTTATAAGTGCTAATGCCTTTTTTATTATTTGTATAAGTTTATAGGGTACAAGTCTAATTTTGTTACATGCAAGATTGCATGGAGGTGAAGTCAGGGCTTTTAAGATATCCATCACCCAAATAATGTATTAATGCATTCTTAAAGATGGTTTGTACTTTCTCTTTGTCCTTTCCAAATGGGTGGAGGACAGCCTGTATATTGTGAGTTCCACTTTAAACTGTCAATCCTACATCATCCTTTCATGTTGGGTGATTATGTCACCTTAGTACAGTACCCTCTACAACCTTATACCTACGATCTACTATCCTCGACATTAGGAAAATGATCTATTCCTTTCCTAATTGAATATTTTCCTTGTGAGATATTTCCTGTTAGCTATTTCCTAATAGCCCACCCATTATTTTGTAAAGCAACCTGGTGATAAACCAAGAGCCACAAAAACCTGGCCTACATATATATTTTTAAATGTTGTTTAAATTATATAATTTACTTAATATTCATAAACATATGCTTTTGAAATCTCCTAAACAGATGGAAATTTCAAACAAGAGCAGACTCAATTCCATGTGGTAACTGCTATCCATAGACTGAGCAGCAGCTACGTCTTTCAGAGGGGTACAGGCACCCCCTTACCAGCACCCACCATTTGCACAATAATTGCATAGGCATTTATTCTTGTCATATATCATTTACTTATGTTTCCTCACTGGCCACAATGTGCATTTGAATTGGTTGTGCCTATTAAAATCCCTAGTAGGCTACCTATTAACTCTTGTGGTTCCCCTTGCAAAGAGAAATTTAGAAATTTATTTTGCCCCTGAAAGTTTTTACCACAAAAAGAAATGATTTGTCAATTATCTAATAAAACCAGTTTAATCTCCTCTTGGAGCTAAAGATGTTTCATCTCTCCCAGGCTTAATTTCCATGATTTGGAACTACAGGTGTAAATGTCAGGAAACATTGCAAAAGAGTCCTTTAGATTCGGCTAAAAAAAAGAGAACAGAATGATTCAATGTGTTTGTAAGTTTGAGGGGTAAGGGAAAAATGCCAACCAATGTACCAGAGCTGCAAAATTTCTCAACTTGTTCAGCTTAATTTTTTTTGGAAATTAGTGCCTAAATTATCGAAATATGTTTTTCTCCTCTCCTTCTGTTTAACCTAATAAAATAATGTAGTGGATAATAATGTGGCCTCTAGATTCAAACTTAACCTCTCTGATTCTTCATGTTAAAATGTAATTATACCATGTTTTCTTTCTTTTTTTTTTTTTTTTTTTGAGATGGAGTTTTGCTCTTGTCACCCAGTCTGGAGTGCAATGACAGAATCTCAGCTCCCTGCAACCTCCGCCTCCCTGCTACCTCCAGCTTGCAAGTTCAAGTGATTCTCCTGCCTCAGCCCCCAAGTAGCTGGTGTTACAGGCACCCGCCATCACTCCCAGCTAATTTTTATATTTTTAGTAGAGATGGGGTTTCATCATGTTGGCCAGGCTAGTCTTGAACTCCTGACCTCAAATGATCTACCCACCTCGGCCTCCCAAAGTGTTGGGATTACAGGCATGAGCCACCACTCCCAGCCTATGGCTTTAATAATGAATGAGATAATATGCTTACGAAGTTATATAACAACATATAATACATAGTCAAGGCCCAATACATCTTGCCTATTTTTATAGGGGAAAAAAGCAAACACATGCACACAATCATGCATAGGGGTGTATGTGTATATATTTATGTATTATACATATAGGCATAGTTATATGCATACATATGCAATCATATATAATACTTATTAAACATGCAAACAGTCTCCTTTTTGGTACAGAAAAAAATCAGTGAAAAAGTGTGGGCCAATATACAGTTAAATTTTAGCATTTCACACTTACTTAACATACTGAAATGTTGAATTGAATTAAATATTTAAGCAACAGTAGGACTTGACAGCTTCTAAAAGTCAAAGTGGAAGAGAAAAGTATCACTGGGGAAACCGTAATGTCTAGTGCTTAATCTACCTTGACTATTAGCTGAAGAACTCTTTTTTTTCTTTTTCCTCAAGACAGAGTCTTGCTCTGTCATCCAGGCTGGAGTGCAATGGTGCAATCTCGGCTCATTGCAACCTCCACCTCCTGGGTTCAAGCGATTCTCCTGCCTCAGCCTCCTGATCAACTGGGATTACAGGCACACACCACCATACCCGGCTAATTTTTTGTATTTTTAGTAGAGACGGGTTTCACCATGTTGGCCAGGCTGATCTCGAACTCCTGACCTCGTGATCTGCCCACCTTGGCCTCCCAAAGTGCTGGGATGACAAGTGTGAGCCACTGTGCCCACCCTGGCTGAAGAGCTCTTAAGCTGTCAGAGATGAATAACTATCAATTACTTGCCTCCTTCTATGTTGTTTAGATGACTCTGTAACTCTCCTATTTAACCAAATGTATGATTTACTTCAGTATTAGCTCTTAGGTTGGCATTCTTACATTTTTGAAATTATAGAATTTTATTAGAAAGTTTCCAAACTACAGCAATGTTATTTCTTCTAGTGAAATTAGGAAATCTTTGTGTATGTCAAAAGCAAATGTGGCAACACATTACTATCTTAAGAATAATATATTTTTCACTTAAATATACGTAAGTATACCATATTTATTTACAACTTTGTGTACATTGTTTATTTTAAGAAATAAACTTATGAGGACAGAAACAATGTTGTCTAAAAATAAAAGATCTCAAATATCTATACCTTGATATTTAAAGACAGTAACAAAAAATAATTTTCCTAAAAAATCAAAACTGTTTTCTTACTTTAAATTTCAGCAAATGCAATGCAATAAACAAAATGACTTTAAGAAAATTTGAAATTTAGGACAATTTTATAACTTTTTTTTGTATTTGAGTATGATGAGTTGGGTCTGGATTTTCTAATCACATTCTGAGATTGTAAGCTATTAAGAATTTTAAAAAAATTTTTCTGTAGTATCCACTCAGGTACTAAATAATAACTGCCAGAAGTAATTAAGCAAAGTACTTCAAACTGAATAATCTGTTTGCTGACATACTTCCATTTCCTTTCGAATGTAAGATAATTACATGATGATATTTTATTTCCAAAATAGAATACTGAATAGTGGAAAGCAAACACTTTTCCAGTGTCAATTATTATGGAATTACTGTATCAGAGTTTGAATGAATGAATTGAAAAAATGGTAATATTAATACATTTAAGGTAACAGTACATATACAAGTACTGTTCCTTTTCTTCCACAGCAGTAGTTCTCAACCAAGGGTGATTATACCTCCAGGGACAGGACTATTTGGTAATATCTGAATACACTTCTGGTTGCTGCATTTTGATTAACACTGCTTCTGGCATCTAGTAAGCACAGGCGAGGAATGCTGCAAACATGCTACCATATAAAAGACCATTCCCAAAACAAATAAATACTGGAACCAAAATATTGATCATGCCAGGATTAAGAACCCTATTCGATGGTCAATTGTAGGGACTTAGTAATTTCTGATCAAGATAGCCAAATATTAAAGACAAGCTAGACAGAGTTGAAATAAAATAGAAGATCATTTGTCACAATTCATTTGATCCGATCTTTTTATATAATTGAATTTCAGGTTCTGTTTGGTAAAGATAACTTGCCCAAGGTCATTAAGTCTATGCTACTTATCTATAGACTAATTTCAAGGTAAGGACTTGGATCTCATCCTACTTATCTATAGACTAATTTCAAGGTGGGACTTGGATCTCTTCATTTTTTAGGCTACTACAGTTTTTAAAAATGAGATATTTCAGAATTCAGGTCATCACACCCAGAGTTGATATTCCAATACAAGAAGATAAAATGGATTCTGAAATCCTTGATTTCAATGATGATAGACACTTCAGTGACTTTTTTTAAATCATACTCTGAAATGGAATTCAGTTTTGAAGAGAGCTGAACATATCACCTTCATAAGATTCAACACTGTCAAAAGAAGTTATTTTAAAAGTATTTGGATGAAATGAGTGCATTTTGAATAGTGCTTTCTAATTGATAGATATTATTCATATTTTATTTTTATGGTGGTACAAATTCTAGCTTATTTTAAAATAATATTACATTAGTTACATTTATCTATGTACAATTATTATGATTTTAATCCTTTTGTTTTTGCTAAGCCAGTATAGATCCCAATAAGCTTTATTATTAGGTGGCATCGTTGTCCTTTTTAAAAATTTGCATCTGAAAACTTATTCTGGTTTTAAGTAGTGAGAGAATGTATCTGTTATAGACCACATTGCACAAAATGCTTTATAAATGATTTGTTTTTTGCTTTTGCTTTTTTAGATACCTGCTACTCTTTAGGAAACTGTAATTACTATAGTAAGAAGTGAGACATTTCTTAAGAGCTTTAAATCCATCTTTTCTGGCTTAATAACTACTAAGCACTTAAGGTGAGTTGCTTGTGGGGAATAGCATCCAGTCCTCATGTTACCGCAGTGGGGCTGGCAGTCAGGGTAAATCAACAAAGGGAAGGGAGAGAATGAGATAAAAGAAAAGTTGTATTATTTCAGAATTCAGTCCAACCAGGAATTGTACTAAAGTCAGACTTGACCTCAAGCCATTCAAATAAGAAATACAACAAGAATAGAAACTTCAGTAGGCTGTGAAAAATTTCTGGATGACACTTACAACTTATAGAATCTTCTCAATTGCATTGTGGTTTCTTTTGTGAGGTACAAGCACAAAGCATAATGTGTCCCAACCCCTCAGAGAGGCAGAGCCACATGGACACTGCAAGGTCTGTATGTTGGCTCAACTCCATGTCAGCATACTGTCAAAATAAAGAATGATATATAAATCTGTGCATTGTGCCAACACCAGCATATAAACTACCTGGAGTTCATCCAGCTTTGCACAGAGGGCACCTTTGTACAGCAAACCCAGAATATTCTTATGATGTAATGTTATTGAGGGATGCTATCAAGGGTAGAGATTTGTAAACTTTTTGACAAAGATATGTAGCAAATCTTTCCAAATTTTTATATTCTATGTACCCTTTGTGTTACAAAAACTATATGGTTTGTGTTTATTCTACAATTTATCCATCTAAATCTGCATATTTTAAAATATAAACTCATAATTGGGTGGAAATGTATCATGAAAAATGTCAGAGATATTAAATAGCACTTGATGTAGGAGAAAATCAGGCTTATGTAAACAGAAATAGGGTATCTCAATGAGAATTGTAGGAGAATAAAGAATAAGCTGAGAAGGGCAAAAAAGATTGATTCAATCAGCCTCACGAGGTTTCTGGTTTTTGCAGTACAAGGGGAATGTAGCTACAATGGTGATACAGTAGAAACCACCATTTGAGAAATTTCTACAGGTTACCTGGAGGTATTTCATTAAAAAAAATTTAAACCTAAGTAACTCTGGGAAGGTGAGCACTCTAACAAGGATTGGATCTCGTAGCAACTGAGAATGTCCAAGAACCCAAAGACTGTAAAAAGCCAGATGGAGAAATTAATGATGTAGCTGTTCTGTGTGTCTTTTTGTAACCAAGGTTGTTACTTGTGATTTTCCACACAGTAATAAAAAGTGGTATAATTTCTGGACACTCTTGATAGCTACCTGTATAGGCAGTGATCTCCAGGGCAAGAGTCAGGAGGAATGGAGAGGTGCACGGAAGCACACTGAACAAGGAGTAAGGGTAAATTCAAGGTTTAGAGTCAGAAAGGTGGAATTAATCTTTACTAATGAATTTGCTACCATTGGTAAGAAAATCAGGATAAAGCTTCCTATAAAATAAACTCCGATTCTGGAATATTTATACCCTATCCAGAAAGTCTAGAAGCACTTTACTTTCAGGTATTTTAAGAAGGGAACTTAAGAGAAGGCAGATTTTCCTATATTTTGGACATGACAGAAATGTTGTATATCTAAAAATGCATGAGTCATAACAAACATCAAAATTCCATGCTCTAATGATATATTCTACTTTCAAATATTTGGTCATCAATAGGGAATTAATAGAACAGTATTTCAACACTGCAATCAGATTATAAGCAGAGTCTTCAGATGCATTGCTTGTCTAATCTAATACAAAGTACCCTACATTTCAACCTGAGTTAGAAAAACTCCATTCATTATTTTGCTGCAGAATCTTTAGCTGTAGATACAGAATCATACCAGATAAAGTGTCCTTTGTGGATTTAACTTGTAAAGCCTCCCATGTAGATGTTTTAAAGTTGAAATTGGTTTTGCAACACTGTGATTCATGTCAGATTGGGATGTTTATTTAATGTTTCCATTGTTTTATAGAAAAAAAAGAGAAATTCTTCAATAAAATCTGATCTTATTTATTTATTCACTGGTAAGGCCTAACTGTTTCATTATTAACTACAAGATGATGATTTTATAGTTGATATAATTTGAGGCCAAGTGTTTTAATTTGATGCCTCTGGCTAGATTTTTATGTCACACAATTTTACTAAAGGTAGTGATTCTTTTTAAAAAATACCTTCAAAAATTCTCTTATTTTGGAATATTAGGTTTGTTCCTTTGCAGCAGCTACCTCCATATTTCTATCACAATATTTTTGATAGAATTTGCCTTACCTTAATAGCGATACACTGGCTTTTGTATGCTTATTTAGTACAGTAGATGTGCTGTCAATTAATATTCAAATTGCCTATATTTACATATTTCATTTTTCATATTTTTATTTTGAAGCAAACTCAAACCTACGAGAAACTTGCAAGTATAAGAAATGTAGATTCCTTAAACATGTTTTCACCCATGAATATGTTCTTTATATTTCCTGCTATCATGTCATTCTAGTGATGACCTTGCCATGCAATCACATTGCAACCTCTTAATCAAGAGTTGAGTGCCTCTAGTTCTTGTCTGTGTAGGTTGTCTCTGCAGACCCTTCAAACAATTTTTGCATCATGTTTAGAGTTTGTGATTGTTACCTGTGAGAGAGCTATTCTAGTAAACACAACTCTGTCATAAACAGAACCTGACAAGGTAAATTTTGTTTTAAGACCAACAATTATAAAAGCAAAAGAATAATTCCAATATATCAAAGTAGAGTTCTCTAAATTTTCAGCATTTGATGAGAAAATTGGAAATGGATCGCTTCACTTTTCAGTGAAAACATTAATAATTGCTAACCAGTATAATCATGAAAAGGCAGGCAAAAACATGGATTTAAAACATCAGAATTGTTTTCTTTTACAAATTCAGTGAGAGTGGGCAGAGAAGGAAAAAGGCCAGGTAGGGAGAGACATTTTTTTTGGAGATGGAGTTTCACTCTTTGTTGCCCAGGCTGGAGTGCAGTGGTGCAATCTCGACTCACTGCAACCTCTGACTCCCGGGTTCAAGCGATTCGCCTGTCTTAGCCTCCCGAGTAGCTGGGATTAGAGGCGCCCACCAGCATGCCAGCTAATTTTTGTATTTTTAGTAGAGACGCGGTTTCACCATGTTGGCCAGGCTAGTCTCGAACTCCTGACTTCAGTGATCTGCCCGCCTCGGTCTCCCAAAATGCTGGCATTACAGGCGTGAGCCACCGCGCACGGCTGGGAGAGACATTTTACAATAAACTTCATTATCTTTTTTTCTTTTGTTTGAGACCGAGTCTTCTCTCTGTCACCCAGGCTGGAGTATAGTGGCATTGTCTCAGTTCACTGCAACCTCGGTCTCCCAGGTTTAAGCGATTCTCCTGCCTTAACCTCCTGAGTAGCAGGACTATAGTAGGCCCAGCTAATTTTGTTTCTTTTTGTATTTTTAGTAGAGATGGGGTTTTACCCTATTGGCCAGGCTGGTCTCAAACTCCTGGCCTCAAGTGATCCGCCTGCCTCGGCCTGCCAACATGCTGGGATTACAGATGTGAGCCACTACACCTGGTCAAACATCATTACCTTTAAAATTTTTGTTTTACAAAGAGGAAGAAAAGAAATCTTTTAAAAATGTGTATTCCTCATGGGTGCTTTACATAATTTTTTTTTTTTTTTTTTTTTTTTTTTTTTGAGACGGAGTCTCCTCTGTCACCCAGGCTGGAGTGCAGTGGCGCGACCTCGGCTCCCTGCAAGTTCCGCCTCCCGGGTTCACGCCGTTCTCCTGCCTCAGCCTCTCCGAGTAGCTGGGACTACAGGAGCCCGCCACCACGCCTGGCTAATTTTTTGTATTTTTAATAGAGACGGGGTTTCACTGGGGTCTTGATCTCCTGACCTCATGATCCGCCTGCCTCGGCCTCCCAAAGTGCTGGGATTACAAGCGTGAGCCACCGCGCCCGGCCACATACATTATTTTAATTAATTTTTAGGACAGGTAAAATGCCTTCTAAACAATTGTTACCATTTTATTAATGTTATAGAAAGAATAATCTGAGTTTCACAGAGGTGCAAATGACTAATTTGAGGTATCAAAGACGCTCATTTGAGAAAATCAGATATGAATCCTGATTTTGCTGAGTCTAGTGACCATAATGCCTTAAGCCCTAACTTGTTAGTATCATCTGCCTTATAGACACAAAGATAAATTACTTTTTGTAGTCTGATTGGGACACGGGTGTTTGCTAATTTTTAGGTCAAAATATGCCCCTAAGTAGCTTTCAAAAGGTATGAAATCATTTTCTTTATCAATTTAGTTTTATTCATTTGTTTCCTTAAGCCTTCTTTTCTAGATTTATATTTGGCTGAAGGCACACAGTTGAATTGAAATGTGATTTCTATAGTGTGATATTAGCTAATACTCAGCATTCTCAGGGAAAAAGCTCGTGGCACAAAAGTAAAAATAAACTATTTTTCGTATTATTAGCTTTGTCACAGTCACTACAGAAATATTAGAAAACACAGTGACCCAAAGAAAAAAATGAAAACATTCCTGATTCCACCATCCTGAGGAAACAGTCATAATTTTTCTATGGCCATCCAGAAACTAAACTCTAATTTTTAAAAATTCTTTCAAGAAGCATGTTTTGTTATGTACATTAGGCTTTTACATCAATAATAATTAAGGCCCATTAATTCTTGAAGTTGTCTATGATTGCATCTTCAGTCTTTTATGGCATACAAATCTAAAAATGTGCTTTTGTTAGTAAAATTAATAATATATGTTCCATTATAGTTTGAGAATTTCTGTTTTGCAAGCTGCTTTTTGATGCCTCATAGGGAAAAGGGACAGAAATTAGAGTAGCATATAGTGAATTAATAAAATGTTTGTTCCTTGTGTGTACACATGTATGTGTGTGTGTTTGTGTGTGTGTGTGTATATATATATATTCGTGTATATATATACATATATAAGTATTTAATAATCCTCTTTTATGCCTTGGTGTTAGTTCATTAGTTATTGGTCCAAGACAATGATAAAGAATGGTAATTTCAAAACCGAGTGAATAATTTTTAGTAGAATCCAATTTTCATAATTTTGCTACATATATATAATACTGTGTGAATGGAGACAGATGTTTTTCCACTATCCATGCATGTAAGAAATTATACATGAATATATGACATCATATTACATCTTCTTGCTTTTTCATAATATTTAGTTTTTCACTCATTTCAAATTCATTACAGTAGCTACAATTTTGATAGATTTAAATGAATTGCAAAATTAAAATGTTTAAAAGTTGAAATACTTGCATATAATGTAGACAATTTTGATAAGAAATTTTCAGAATTTGGGGAAATATAACTATAGTTACAAAAAGTTTATATATTAATGCTAAAATTCTATTTTTTCTGTAAAGATTTTGTAAGATGCTACTAGTTTTTTTCTATTAAAATTAGTTTTGGCTTTCATAGAAGTCCTTTCATATGAACAATAAAAAATTCTAGAAAATTAATAATAAGATTCATCAAAATTGCTTTTCACGTAACTTTATTAGAATGTATCTATTAAGTGAAGGGATGTATATAAATATTATAAAAATACTACCCTTACATAGGTGTTTATTTTACAGCTACAGAAGTATATGTCACAGTAATAACTGTGAGAAAACATTAAAACATTTTAAATGGCCTGTTTTCAACACATGATAAATCTCAGTACTGGCAGCCAGCCTGCAAATGTAGCAAACCGCACAGCTTATGCACCTAGAGGGTCACAATAAGTGAACAGAATGTAGAGGAGGGGTCAGCTCATAAAAGGGAAGAAATTTTCCTTATTGGGAAATTGAAACTTAAGTGGGAAAGGGGACCACAGTATAACCTTATAAGGGGGATAATGAAACTTAGGTGACATCCCAGAAGATTGTAGCCCCATAGTACTCAACCAGTGAGGAACTGGGGGAGGAACTTGCATGCTAGGAGATAAATTACCACTTGTGACTGTCCCAGGTGTGCCTTCCACCAGAGACCCAGTCTTGCAAGGCAGTTATTAAAAAGTCTCACTTTCGCTGTTGTCCGTACCTCTAAGTCCATTCTTTGGGTTTGGACACGTGAGTGTGTTTCTCACAAACCTGGGGGCCTGTCCGGGATCTCTGTGCCTGTGTGGAGTGGGACTCCAGCTGAGAGGGGAGACGCGTCCCACCCGATTTAGGTGGCCTACTCTGTCTGGGCAGTACAAGCTCCCCACAAAAGCCATAGATCAACTGGAGACTGTTACTCAGGAGACACTGGAGGTGACACAGGGAGAAAAGCAGGCACCGTGGCAACGAAGGCAACCTCTTGCATCAGCCAAGGTAGGAAAGTTGGACTGCAAGTACTGCCTTGGTGGTTGGGCATTTTCAGAGATCTCGGGATATGCAAGAAAATCCCAGTAAGTGGGGGTTGAGTACACACGGGTGTGCAAGAAACCTCCAGTAAGAGGGGCTGAGTACACAGGGAAAAACTTGGACACAGAGACTGGCTGAAAATGGGAGACAGGAACTTTAGGTCTAGGGGACAAAGGAAAGAGGGAGCCAAAGAGAGTCCCTCTGGCATTACCCTGGATAGTCCTTTGGGGAGAATGTTGCAGGTTTGGAAGGGGACAAGCCTTGAACCAGGGACAAGGAAAAGCAAAACATGATAAAGTATTGCTGTTTTATCTGGCCCAAAGACTCCATTTGTAAGCCTTCAGTCTTTTGGTCTAAGTTTGGCTCAGATGACGATTGGGCATGCCAAGCTTTAATTCTCTATGTGAATACCAAAACCCCATCCTCACAAGAAGACATAGGTTCCGCTCTCTGCTGGATCAAGGAATTAGCCCCCGTGTTCCCCCTCAAAGAAGAAAGAAAAGAGAAACTGGGAAAGGGAGAAATGAAACAGGGGAGGAAGAGAGGGTGAAATAGAAGAAGAAAATGATCGAGAAAGAGACTGGAAATGACAGAGATCAAAGAGAGATGCAGAAGGTGAGACGGGGAGGAAAATATTGTAAAAGGAAGAAAGAGTACCAGAGGAATTGAGAGTATATGGAGAGTGTGACAGGGCTGGGGGAAAGTTCTAGAGGCTCAAGCAACAAGGAGGTGCAAGGAAAGGGTGCAGTGTGGCCACTGAGGAGGGACAGAGCCTGGGAACTGGGGGAAGCAAGTGAGAAAGGGATGTGGAGGGGAGTTTAGGATCAAGCTGTTTGAGGAGTAGTGGTTTGCCTACAGCAAAGACTAGATGACTGTTTGTCAGGAGGCGGTAGAAAGAATTCAGGTTATAGAAGGGTAAATGGATAAGATGACCATTAAGATTTTGTTGTTGGACCGGGCACGGTGGCTCACACCTGTAATCCCAGCACTTTGGGAGGCCTAGGCGGGCGGATCACGAGGTCAGATCAAGACCATCCTGGCCAACATGGTGAAACCTCGTCTCTACTAAAAATACAAAAAGTATCTGGATGTGGTGGCACGTGCCTGTAGTCCCAGCTACTCGGGAGGCTGAGGCAGGAGAATCGCTTGAACCCGGGAGGTGAAGGTCGCAGTGAGCCAAGATTGAGCCACTGCACTCCATTCTGGAGATAGAGACTCAAAACTTTTTTTAAAAAAAGGTTTTGTTGTTGATTTACTGACAGGCTGTAAGTCCAGCAGGTGCCTCTGTTGGTAAAGCCGCAAAAGGGCTGATGGGGCTACTTGAGGAAGAACGGAAAGAAACTGCAAAAGATTGATGGATGGAATAAAAAACTGATTGAGGAATTCCTGAGAGAAGCTCATGTCTTTGTAAGGAGAGAGGAAGAGAAGCAGAAACAAAAAGCGAAAATCATGGTTTCCACTGTGGAAAAGGTAGTCAGAAAAAGGTTAGATCAAGATCCCACTGGAAGGAGACAAGGGAGTGGTGGATTTTGACACAGAGAAAGAAGGGAGATGCAGGGAAAAGTCCATGAGTATGTTTGAAATACTTGTTTCTTGGTGCCGTAAAGAAATAGCACTTGAACATAAATAATTTATTTAGTAAGGCCATTTTTACTTCCTGCAGAAAGGGTACACTTGCCAGCAGTTTTGCCATGAGAGCACACTGAACAAAAGAGACAGGGTCATTTAAAACCTGATGCATCCACCCTACTGCTGTGTCCGGTTTCCATTGGCTGGAACGGGACCTCACATTCCGTATTTGTACTGATTGGCTAGCAACTTAGAACTTTTTAAAAGAGGAAAAGGTAGAGGAGAACAAAGGAAGGAGGAAGTAACTTGCGGAATGCTGAGAAGGGTAAAAACACTTTTAAATAAGGAAGAGGAACAGGCTATGACCTAATGCTTGCTTGGACCAGTATAAACATACCAGGGCAAATATTTAGGCTAAATTGTGGGAGCTAAGAACATAAAGTACATTGATTTCTTTATTACGGCTAGCAGATATTTAAGAATGTTAGCACAGGTCTTTGAATAAATTTTGCTTCTAAGAGAAGTTACTATTTATTCGTAATTAGACGGGGAGGAAAGTCTTTGAAGAGCAACCTCTACTTTACTTTTTATAAGTGGATGTTACCAGTGTGGAAAGCGAGGGCATTTTAAGAGAGAATGTCCTGAATGAAAAAAAGAAGAAAAGGTGATCCCCCTCATGACCCTTAATGAAGACTAGGGGGGTTCAGGGGTTCCTCCTGAGTAGGTCCCACCAGGAACCCTTGATAAATTTGAAGGTAGGACCAGAGGCAGAAGAAATGACATATTTGGTTAATGCTGGGGAGGCTCGCTCCTCCCTAATTCACCAACCAAGGGTTACAGAATTCTCTAGGAAAAATTGACAGTATGAGGGGTGAAAGGGGAGGGATTTCCAGTTCTGATAGTCAAGACAATGTTACTTAGATTGGGATGAAAACAAATTGACGGGCCATTCTTATATGTTCATGAAGCAGGAACTAACCTCCTAGGTAGAGACTGAGTGTGAGATTGGGTTTAGGATAAGGAATAGAGGAAGGACAAATAAAAGTAAAGATGAGCCTCCTAACAGAGGAGGAGGAAAGAAAAAATTAATCCCCCTGTGTGGGTTGGGGACGGCAACAGGAGAGGGTTAAAAATCACACCCTTATAGATTGAACTAAAGCAATCAGTAAAAGTAGTTTGCAGAAAAGAATATCCCATTTCCATGAAGGGAGAAAAGATTTCCAACCAGAAATAGAGGGTTTGATTAAAAATGGACTATTAGAACCTTGCATGTCACCATACAACACTCCTTTGGGTTGCTTATCTGGAGGGCAGAGTTTCTGTGTCTGTTCCCCGACATCTTCTTGCAGCTGTAGGCATCCGCCCAAGTCCTCTCTTAGCTTCCCTACCTTAGTGTGCCTAAAGGGAAACGAATGTGCTTATTAAGGCCTTACTTTTACTGGAGCACATCTTATGAGTGTGAAGTTGGTGATTACCCAAGAGTCTTTCTCCCACCCCTCCTTCTGTGCTTAAGCTGTTTATCTGTGATTTACAGCCTGAACTTTCAGGCTGCCCTTTGTTAGAAGAGAAGTGATTTCTTTGAACTGCATGAAGTTAGAAAGGAAGCTACCTCAAGGGTGTTAAGGGAAATTATGGAAGGTTTACAAATTAGTTGGGATTATCACACCCCTTGGTATCCCCCTTCCTCTGGAAAGGTAGAAAGAATAAATCAACTCTCATAAAGCATATCACCAATCTAATCTTAGAAACTAAGATGCCTTGGGATTGTCCTTCTATGGGTTATGATATGGACTCCCATATTTGGGCAGGGCTACAGATCTTCTTACTACGGAAACCAAGAACAAATTATTAAGAAATTGTATACTGACCATATCCTCCACCCTGTCATCCCTCAGGTTAAAAGGACTTCTGACTCAAACTCCACTTCTAGAGTTCAGGTTCAGCACTTCCAGCCCGGCGACTTGGTGCTGATTAAGACTTGGGAAGAAGACAAGCTCCACCCAAACTGGGAAGGTCCCTACCAAGCGCTCCTGACCACTGAGACAGCTGTGTGAACAGTGGAACGGGGGTGAGCTCAGTATACTTGAGTCAAGGGACTGGTAAGAGAAACCCTGGAAAGGAGGGGAAAAGACCAGTGGAAAGTGCACAGGTCACCTGAGGAACCCTTGAAGTTAACTCTGAGAAAAATCTAAAAAGAAAACATGGGCTGGCCCCATTTATGGAAGTTAATATGGCTGGGATGGGCTACTATACAAAGAGCAGAAGGTAAGAATGGAAACTGGCAGGGGACTCCTCCCTACCTAGTCAGGTTGGTGATTAATGTGACCAAGATGGTAGCACACCAGATTGTAAGATTTGGTGCCGCCCAGGTGTGGTGGTTCATGCCTGGAATCCCAGCACTTTGGGAGGCCAAGGTGAGCAGATCATGAGGCCCAGAGATCAAAACCATCCTGACTAACACGGTGAAACCCTGTCTCTACTAAAAATGCAAAAAATTAGCCGGGTGTGGTGGCACGTGCATGTAGTCCCAGCTACTTGGGAGGCTGAGGCAGGAGAATCGCTTGAACCCAGGAGGTGGAGGTTTCAGTGAGGCGCGATCATGCCACTGCACTCCAGCCTGGGCGACAGAGCGACACTCTGTCTCAAGAAAAAAAAAAGAAGATTTGATGCATTCCAGGTTTTACCTTCTGGGAATGTAGAAAATCAGAGACAGCTCTCGTAGGCAGATAAATATTTTTGCCCTGAGCCAAATGTAGGTTACAGTAAGGGCATCACTGTGCTCCAGATGGAATGATGTATGGTGGACTACCCAGTTTAAGGGCTGGACAGTAAACGTGAAGTGGGTAACTCTGAGCTGGAGACCCTTGAAGAATAAACTACATCTGTCCAAGTGTTCCCTGCCAAATAACTGCCAGAATTTAGAATGCAATCCTATACTCATCACCATTGACAATCCACCCATTTCAGACCAAGAACCAAAAGTAGCATCTCAGGTATATGGGTTAGGGGCAGACATCACAGGAAAAGACCCTCTAGGTGATTTGTTCTCAAACTAATCAAGAACTCAGCCTCCTATTTGCCTGGGACTACTCCAACTCCAGGCCCTAATAAACACTTAATCTACCAAATAATAACCTTAAAAAGGTAAAAATAATTGAGATAAAGGATTTAAGGCAAACCTTAAAAATTGAAACAAGGTATGGGGATGTGAATGTCTGGGTTGAATGGATCAAATTTTCGGTACAAGCTCTCAACAAGAGTAACTGCTACATGTGTGCTGCGGGACAACCTCAGGCAGAGGCGGTTCCATTTCCCCTAGGATGGAATCCCAATCCTAAAGGAACACACTGCATGTTGGCTCTATACCAGAACAAGGATGAATGGGGAAATGAGACTTGTAAGAGTCTGTCATTGTTCTTTCTGCATTGCAAAGTCTGGATCCCAGAACAATCCTTTTGTTCTCTATAGGGACTATGAACCACTCCTCTTGCCTCTCTAGGCAGGGGGCAGAGTTCAATAAGCCCATGGGAGAAATCTCAACTTGTACCCACATTCGAAACGTCACTGGTGAGTCAAGCAATGGCAATTACAAGCTCTCCATATACCCCAGGCTGATGTCTGGTGGTACTGTGGGAAAGGGAGCTGCTGTAACCTGTTACTGTCCAATTGGACCAGGACTTGTCTGTAGTCCAATTGGCCATTCCCTTAACCCTGGCATTCCACAAGATACATGAAAATACACATGGCCACTGAAACCGGAGAGATTTAATAAATTATTGTGATCCCAATCTATATGTTGACTCGATAGGAGTCCCTAGGTGGGTACCTAATGAATTTAAGGCCTGAAACCAAATAGCTGCTGGGTTTGAGTCAGCACTCTTCTGGTGGTCGACTATTAATAAGGATGTGGATTGGATTAACTACATCTATTATAATCAACAGAGATTCATCAGTTATACTCTGGACACCCTCGAAGGGGTGGCTAGCCAGCTAGATGCCACCAGCTGAATGGCCTGGGAAAACAGGCTTGCACTAGACATACTATCAGAAAAAGGAGGCCTATATGTTATGCTGGGTGAGAAGTGTTGTACTTTTATTCCCAACAATACTGCCCCAGATGGGACCATCAGAAAAGCTTTACAAGGACTGACAACTCTAGCCAATGAAATGACACAAAATGCTGGAATTGATGACCCATTTACGGGTTGGCCAGAAGGTTGGTTTGGAAAATGGAAAGGCGTGGTAGCTTCAGTTCTTACATCTCTCATAATTGTGGCAGGAGTCCTAACAGCAGTGGGATGTTATATTATCCCTTGTGTGAGGAGACTAGCACAGAGATTAATTGAAATAGCTATTAATAAACAAACGCCCATGAGTTACTGACAGAATAACCTGCTACCATCTGAAATCAAATTAAACTCAGTCTCCTATGAGGAAGAAAGTAAAAAACTTCTAGAGCAATTCGAGGACCAAAAGGGTTTAGATGAAAATAAGACCAAAAGAAGTAAATAGAAAAGAGGAGGGAATTTGTGAGAAAACATTTTAAATGGTCCACTTCAAGGCATGGTAAATTTAAGTACTGGCAGCCAGCCTGCAAATGTAACAAATCACAGGGCTCATGCACCTAGGTCACAGTAAGTGAACAGAATGTAGAGGAGGAGTCAGCTCACAAAAGGGAAGAAAGCTTCATCATTGGGAAATCGAAACTTAAGCAGAAGTGGACTTGGGTATAACTTTCTAAGGGGGATAATGAAACTTAGGCGATGTCTGGGAAGATTGTAACCCCATAGTACTCGATCAATGAGGAACTCGGGGAGGGACTTGTGTGCTAGGAGATATATTACTCATTGTGACTGCCCTGGGTGTGCCCGCCCACCAGACACTGCTCTTGCAAGACCATTATTAAAAAGTCTCACTTTTGCTGTTCTTTGTGCCTTTAAGTCCATTCTTGGTGTTTGGACGGGTAATTGTGTTTCTCATATAACTAAAATGGCTATAATTTTAGACTTATAGTATCTCAGCTGTCTAAGGAAATATAATTTACCCTCATCAGTTTACAAATGAGAGAAAAAATAGATAAAAATAATTTCCGTAGAAAAAAGTAGCTTGCTTTCAAAGTCACTTGGAGAGATTAAATTGATGTTATAGATACAGATAAATAGATGATAGACAGATAGACCTATCTTATAAAATCTACATCTTTTTTATTCTTTTTGTATGTCGTATGAGGATAAACTGAATTATTTCGACTAGTTAAATTTGATTTAAGGGGCAATAAAAATCTATTTAATGAATCTACTTGTATTATTTAGAAAATATCCCTCTGATCTAATGCTGTACGAAAAAATGCAGTTAAGGTGCTGGTTCATTTTGATACATGTCCCTGGTAATTCTTTAGAAAAGGATACAAAGAACAGCTAAGTAGCATTACGTATTTTATTTATCTATTAATTTCTATCACTTTGTTTTATATATATCCATTAATTATGGTATATTAGAAAATGTCAAAATAAACACTGTAAATATCTCAATGTATACTTTTCATAAAATTATGCATTTGAGATTTCACAGATGAGAACAATACTATAAATCATACAACTTCCATCTTTGATATTGTTCTATTCTGTCAGTCTTAAAGGTGAATAATAATAATACATTCTGTTGATGTTTTCATGCTAAATTACTTTCAGCATACCCCTAAGTATTTACAAATGTTAAATTATGAAACTATTTTATATTTAAAACTTCTAGGTTTAAAGCATCAATTTTGCTTTAACATAAGCGATTTTCTTCTATTTTGTCAGAAAGAAAATTTAAGAGAATGATCTGCCTTACAGATTCAAAAATTTTTTCATTGAATTCAAATGAATCTTCTTCCACAATCTGAAATTTGAATTCTTTAATACATTTTACTGTGTTACTTGCAAAATATCCTTGGCTTAAGAAAAAGCTACTGAATGTTTAGTCCGTAAACAAGCAAGTGTATATTTTGTTTAAATATTTAAAACTAACTTATGTATTAATCATAAAATAAGGACAGAGGTGCAGTTTCATTACATGCTTGAAAAAACACTGATCATTTAGTTCAAGAAAATTTACTTTTAAATTGTATTTTTCTTTATGCAATTCAAATAAATGATCCTCTTAAATTTAACAAAAATATTTATATATATTCTTAAAATCTACATTAAGAAAACAAGAAATCATTCCTATTTGATTCTGCAGCTATTGAACTGTAAAGTACAAATAACAAACTTATTATTACACTTGAGTTTGTTTTGGAGAACTACTAAAATGGAGTGAAGAGTATTGGTAAGGGAATAATGTGTAACTACCAAATGTAGCATAGAATATTTAGGTTGTAAATAGAGGAATATAAATGATAGGTTATCATGGTTCTATTCAATTTATTCTTATCTCAAGAAAACTTGGTGTATAATTTCAAACTCTATACATTTACACAATTTATTACCTATGGTTTTAGTCCAGAAAACAGACTACATTCTCTTAAATTATGAGAAATTTTGTCCAAGAAGTGTTAAGTATAGAGTACTGGTTTTTTACAGTTAGATGAACTAAATAAAGATTTATTTTTATGTGTACTGAGGCTAAAAACTGTGACTGGATGAAATGGTTACTTTCCTAGTGTAAAATTTTATTGCTCTGATTAACATTCTTTCTTGTTTTTATTATAAAGGCATAAGATAAGAGAAGGGGCATTTATTATGCACCAAATCTTTTCCAGATACTGTGCCAGATATTTTTATAAAACCTTCTCAATTCTTATTAATAGAAACCATCAATCATTACATAAGTATTGTATGTTCACTTCTATTTATTTTGCTCAATATAATATAGCTAACAGGAAACATAGTAGCTTCACATATTTACTACTTAACATATATTCTGTCTAATATAACTGAGTATGTTTTGGAAGATATTGATACAATGTAGAAAAAAATATAAACATTGTAGAAAATAAATCTGAATAGAGTAAATTAATAAAAAGTATAACACCAAATTGTAATGTATTATTACTAAAGAATCATAAATGCAATAGGCAAAATATAAAAAGTCCTAAAATCAAGTAGAATCACTGCTATCAACTTTGTCATAAACTTCACACTTTGCTCACAGGAAGTCATTTTTAACACCTGGCGTTGCTTTTTAAAATTTGTATTGTTTGACAGATCTTTTTGAATAATAGATTCTAGCCCTAGGTATATTCCTACTTTTAATTTAAATATAACGATAAAAGCATGAAATACTTCTTTGTAGAAAATACTCTGCTGCTTTATTTTAGTTGTACATTATCATCAGAAGAACAAGCCATGACTGGCCTTGCAAAGTCTTCACTATAAAGGATCTCATCTAGAGATATGAACTTCACTTTAAGAGAAGAATAGCTCCCACAGAATTGAAAGATATGTGCCCCCTTTGATGTAAGCCAAGAACTTCTTTTTTTCTTCTTTTTTTAATGAGGACATTAAAAATAGAGACATAGTATGTAATCAGCAGCCCACAAATTTCTACCAAATTTTTACTAATATAGTTAGGACAACTCAGAGAAATGCTCTCTCATGAAACACATTAAAGAATGAGACTAGGCAGGCACAGTGGTTCATGCCTGTAATCCCAGCACTTTGGGAGCCCAAGGCGGGCTGATCACTTGTGGTCAGGGCTTCAAAACCAGCCTGGCCTGGCCAACATGATGAAACTCCGTCTCTACTAAAAATACAAAAAGTAGCTGGACATAGTAGGGCTTGCCTGTAATCCCAGCTCCTCAGGGGGCTGAGGCAGGATAATTGCTTGAACCCATAAGGTGGAGGTTGCAGTGAATGCAGATTGTGCCACTGCATTCCAGCCTGGGCGACAGAGCAAGACTCTGTCTAAAAAAAAAAAATAGAGAGAGAGTGAGACTAACAATAAATACAACTATTGCCATAATCTAAGGGCTTCCTGAGGTATAATGAGAAAGGCTTGAGCTATTATGAAAATTTAAAGTATTAGGTCACAAAATGTTGGCATTTGAAACATTAGCCACTTTCTATCCAGAAAGTTCATTACAAAGACATTTCAACACCAGTAAGGGGCTCAGTTCCTATGCCAGTCAGGGAACTCGAAAGGCAGTTCTTTCTTAAAACCATGCTGTCTGTTCAGTAGCCTGGTTCACCTCTCCCTCAACAGCTCTCCTTAGAAAACTGAGCTTTTTGTTTGAGGACCAATTCTAGAATGTACAATAGTGTCTGTTACTTAGCTTTGTAACACTAAGATTCAGTCCATCCTTTGGTCTTTCATGATCTCATGCCTAATTCTCCAGAGGAAAAAAAGAAAAATTAACAATAAATTTGTTATATATATAATTTGTTGTAAATATATATATAATTCACTATAAATATATATAATTTGATATACATATATATATGCATAACACAGAACCAAGCAAAGAACTGCTCTTTATGGACACAAAAATATCGCAATTTTGGAACTGCTCATTTGGTGAATGGATGTTCTCTATTACATTGCAGTGAATGCACTGGATAGTAATGTGGCATCCAGGGAACACATGTGTCAAACGAAAATAGCAACAGCACTATCGATGTGCACATCACAATGGTAATAGCATCCCACTGGCCTTTTAGTGCTGATGAGTGACACCAATCTTAGTGGTATGTTCACAGCAATTCTCAACAAAACATGACCACAGTTATCATAGTGGCTTGATGAAACACACACATAAGGGTTGTAATGCACGTTCACGGTGTTCTATGGGCAGCAAGTACAAGTAGAGCTGAATGTACTGTTTTAGGAATCTGCTTAGGAGATTTTTGGGGAAAGTAGTAGAATGGTCCTGGGTGTTTTAAAATAGTGAGTAGAAAAAAGAGACTGAGAAATACCATTCACCACCCTTTATGTGAGCTATCCTTCTCTTTTTTTCAACCTATTGTGCTGCTGAAACAGGAAAATATGCTATTGGTAGAAATATAAATTTAAGAACACAGAGGTCCTAGTGTGTGCAACTGGACCCTGCCGCATTATAATTAACCCGAGAGAGAGAGAGAGATGGCTCTCTCCTGCATAATTTCCTGAGGCTGATTCAGTTGATGAGCAAATACACCTTGACTATGAATTTGATTTCTTGAATATAACTAATGAATAAAGACTTAGAGGAAAAAGAGTGCCATGTGGTGATGGCTATCTTGGTCATTGCAGCTTGTCTGTGTTCTTCTTGTACAGTATATTAATGTGTGAATTGTCTTCCTTCCCCCTCCTTCCTTGACATCTAAGAGGAGCTTTTACTTTGCTTGCTTTGAGGTGAGAAAGATGTTCAACATTTTGTGATAAAAAATTATGAGACTGAAAAGATGGAGACAGAATCTGAGTTTGGGGAAGTGAGGAGGGTATAGGTGGGGCTAGCTTTATAACAAAGAAGATAAGGGGGAGCCTTTGAGTGAGAGGAGCTAAGAGAAGCGCTAGCAAGATATGCAAACAAGTTTCAAGACTTTATATGAGAGTGAGGTTTGAAGAGCTAGCTATTAAGGGTTAAATGATTTGGGAAGGTGGGGAAAAGACCTTCTCAAGTAATTGCTGTTAATTACCAAATTTATAACTTGCTTTTGGTTGCGATGCTAACACTCTCAAAAGACTGATTCTGTTCAGGCCCGTTACTCTATTTAAATGAGTTACCTGACCATCCAATGTTGCAGCACAGTCTAGGTCCAGGGTCTATAGCTGGGAGAGGGGAGATTTGATGCAATTATATTTCCAACTACTGGGAAAAGGAGAGAATTTTGCATATTTTAAGTGTGAAATTTTTCTGAATAAAAATATTTAAACAAAATTTAAAATATAATTTCAAAAAGACCATAAATCTTCATGCTGGTCATCCTTGTACTCTAAATTTCCATGTGCTGCTCTATGAGTCAGAGGAACAACAGCGACCATTAGGCAGGGCTAGACTCAATACAGTTGGGGCATGACTAGGGCGAATGTCTAGGCAAGGGGCTTCAGCTCTGAGGAACCAAACGGTAGTCCTGGGGTCAAGTTGCTCAGTCTCCTACAGGTGTGGGAGATGTGGCGGACACAAGGGCAATCCATGGAATCCCCATTTGCATAATAATAGATGACTGGCTGATCTCACCCCTCACCCTGGCTTCTATGTTTTTTGTTCCCAGATGGAAGAATTGTCTGAAGAGGATGAGTGATCACCTTCCAGGTGGAGGTAAGAACGCCAGAGCCAGTCCCCTAGAGAAGGGACTCATTAGCCTGATCACAGCCTACACAAGATCAAGTGAAACCACATGTCCACACACAACTCCTCCATAGATAGAGCATACTGCTAACATCACCACAATACAGAGAGAAGTGTGGTCACAACATGGGAAGGCCAAGCAGCCAACTTCATTTAAACATTTTTAATTGACAAATGAAAACTGTATATAGTTATACAATTGTACAACATGATGTTTTGAAATATGTGACATGTGCATAATTTCACATACCTTGTTTGTGGTGAGAACACTTATTTACTTTGTTAGCAATTTTGAAGTACACAATATATTGCTATTAACTATAGTTTCCACGATTACAACCATCTTTTCTATTAACAGTCTTCCTTTCTCAATAGTGATGAGCCCAGAAAGGACCCAATCAGATGCCAAGGAAAACCTAAAGCACAAAAGGAAAAAAAATGGCCATACTAGAAATTGAATCTCAGAGGAAATATGAAAATACACAAATGCAAAGTTCTATATACAAGTATCCCCAGAGATACTCCATGTTTAAGAAGAGGAGTTAGCGAATAAGAAATAAGACTTGTAAATAGATACCATATTTACTCTAATTAATAATTATTATTAAATAATAATTAATAATATTATTGTTATTATTGTTATTATTATTAAATAGAATAATGTAGAGACAGAATTGAAATATAGATATCATGGAATGATAGGCAAAAATATAAAGTATGTTAGAATACTATAAAACACAAAGGATCAATACAGAAGATTAATTTACATTTAAAATGCATTTCAAATAGAGGTGGCGCACATCAACACATTAATTCACACCCTTTCGTTTTCATTTTTTCAGGGAAGGGGTCTCATTATGTTGCCCAGGCTGGACTCAGTGACTCAAATGTCTGTGCTCAAGGGATCCTCCTGCCTCAGCATCTCAAGAAGCTATGACTACAGGTGCATGTCACCCATCCAGCTCAATCACACATCAGACCGCTAAAAATAAGGATACTAGTCTCAAAGCTAAATTTTATTGTTGTCAAAATTTTCAACATCAGTACTAAAAACCTAGAGGAATATAGATGAGCATTTAAAAAATTCTGTCCAGCTAATTCTCTCCAGTGTTCATTTAAATATCATGCAAAAAAGCTAGTTTTATAAAAGTAAAATCTGCATTCACGGTGGGGGGGAATGCAAGCTTAATGGAAAAAAAAACCCAAAATGAAGGAAATTATGTGCTACGAGATTGAAGAAACAATGGATCTCACCCAGCAGGGCTTTGAAAATAAATGTTGAGATCACATTTTACAACAGACTGGTACAATCAATCTAATAATCAATGGTTAATAATTAGCAGAATTAAGAGATTTTATGACATAAGAGATGTAGTAAAGAAAGATTTACACTTTTTGATTGACAATAGAAATGAAAAATTTTAGAAAAAAATATAGTCATGTAACTTATGGTCCAAATATGAATTAAACTAGAAGGTAACGTGACTTTATTCAGTTAATGTAGTATTCAAAAAGTGATTCCAATTAGTCTTGGGTGTTGGACCAACTTCCTTCAAAGGAGTAAGTTTTAGAGAAAGTAGATTTCATATCCCATACAAATTCAATAATATCCCTGTTTAAAAGGTTATATTTACATCACTGTATTATAATAGAAAGTGTTTATGACATTTTATTTTTCAGAGTCAACCAAAAACAGCATGAAATAATTATAGCTATATAAAGAAAGGTAAATGTTATAAATGTTGACATGGTAAAAGAAACAATGTAGTTGTCAAACTGAGAGGAAGAGGGAAGGAAATGTACAGAGAAATAGTTGTACACGTTTTAGAATTTCATCTAATGAGCAAAGATATATTATCTAAATCTGGTGGATCAAGATTACATTTGAACATAGTATTCAGATTTATAAGAGTGAAAAAAGTAAATAAAAAACAAAGATAAATCTAAAAAAAAAAAAGAAGGGAATGGGAAGGTAGAAAGACAAGATTGTGTAAATTACACACCTATCTTCTCTCTCACAGCAGAAAGTAAAACAATAGGGTTTATGTTGATAAATAGAATACATAAATGATAAATGTATACAAACATACTACTTACAATTACAGAGGTGACCATTAGAAGAAGTGAGAATAGAAACTGTCAAATCCAAGGAATAGAATAGGAGATTAAGAGAGGCTTTTTCAGTATTTTTTAATGCTTATATCAATTGCGGAACTTACAAATGAAAACGGGGAAGACAAGTATGAATCTAATCATAGATCCATAAGTAACTAAAATGAATAAATACTATATTGATACTTTAAGTGAATTTAGGTACTCTATCCTTTAAGCAATGAAATCTATTTTATGCATAGTGAACAGTCATTTTTAAAAACCTATAATGTTATTTTGTCATTGATAACTAAATCACCAGCTAATCACTAGCTACTGAAAGTTGCCATATAGGGTTAAATGGAAAATTGCATACTTCTTTAGACTAGAATTACATTTGTGAAAATACAGAACCATGTTGGACAAAGGTCCACAGAAGTGTGCATGGGAGAGTTAAACAGCATTACTGAGATGGCTACAGTCAGCAGGGGTGTTTGATTCTGGGACAAAGCAATTATACATGGAATAAATGTTTGCTGTATCTTGGGAAATACTTTCTAGGTATGAGTCAGTCTAGAAGTTGCTTTCTCTCTGACAAAACTAGGTCAGTCTTTATAACTCTGCTCCTAGCTTTGGAGCACAAAGATGAAATTGTTCTTTTGCGGTCAAAGGCAGTTGTGACAGGCATAATTTTATCAAATTTGGAACAGAAAAACATTCCTCTTTAAATTTCCAGATGGGATGAGATTGTGGAGCAGATAATAGTGGGAAAAAAGTATATAAACAGAACTTCAGAAATTCAGATAATGAAGAACCCATATATAGCACCAGATATTCTTATAACTATAGGCAAATAAATTGAGAAATCTCGGTAAAAAATAATTAACTTTGAAAAGGAAGTGATTTCTGATAAGGACATTGTTTTGAGACAAATACATGCTTCAAAATTTAGGATTAGGAAACAAAAGAGAAATATAAACATCAGCTGCAAATAGAACTGTGATGTGTCCTTTGATCACATTCAGAATTCCCAAGTGAGGCCCAAAGAGTTAACATAAGAATCACATTGCAATTAGACCTGGATATTAATTTTAGGCATAAATGGAAGTTTATAAATATATGCATATATATGTGTGTGTGAGAGAGTCTGCCTGTGTATGTATTCTGATACTAAATTATATCTTTTTCATTGCTTAGTGTTGATGCCGTCACTCTTAAGTGATTTCTACATACATATTTGATTTTATGAAAGTGAATTTCAAGTTAGTGAAATATATATGCTTATGGGTATAGAGAGTAAGAAAATAATTTAAATTGATATTTTAAGTGGATTCTATATATGAAGGTGTGCAGCAGCTTTTTTATTATTATTATACTTTAAGTTCTGGGATACATGTGCAGAACATGAAGGTTTGTTACACAGGTATTCACGTGCCATGGTGGTTTGCTGCACTCATCAACCCGTCATCTACATTATGTATTTCTCCTAATGCTATCCCTCCCCTAGCCCCCCACCCCCTGACATGCCCCGGTGGATGATATTCTCCTCTGTGTACATGTGTTCTCGTTGTTCAACTCCCACTTATCAGTGAGAACATGCGGTGTTTGGTTTTCTGTTCCTGTGTTAGTTTGCTGAGAATGATGGTTTCCAGCTTCATCCATATCCCTGCAAAGGACATGAACTCATCCTTTTTATGGCTGCAGAGTATTCCATCGTGTATACATGCCACATTTTCTTTATCCAGTCTATCATTGTGAACAGTGCTGCAATAAACATACATGTACATGTGTTTTTATAGTAGAATGATATATAATCATTTGGGTATACACCCAGTAATGGGATTGCTGGGTCAAATGGTATTTCTGGTTCTAGATCCTTGAGGAATTGCCACACTGTCTTCCACAATGGTTGAACTAATTTACACTCCCACCAACAGTGTAAAAGCGTTCCTCTTTCTCCACATTCTCTTCAGTATCTGTTGTTTCCTGACTGTTTAATGATCGTCATTCTAACTGAAGTGAGATGGTATCTTATTGTGGTTTTGATTTGCATTTCTCTAATGACCAGTGATGATGAGCTTTTTTTCATGTTTCCTGTCTGCATCAATGTCTTCTTTTGAGAAGTGCAGCAGCTTTTTCAGAATGGTGCCTGCGACAGGTAGAATAATATCCTTTAAAGATGTCAACATTTAATCCCCCAAACCTGAGAATATGTTACCTCAAATAACAAAAGGAATCTTGCACATAAAATTGAGGTGGCATACCTTAAAATAGGCAAAATATTCTGGGTTATCCAGATGGACCTAATGAGGTCCAATTCAGGCTTTTCCAAGTAGAAGAGGAAGACAGTAGCGTGGGGCAGAGCATGTGAGAGAAGAGACAGGAAAGATTCAAAGCATGAGAGAGATCCAGCCTTCTGGTGCTGGTTCCGAAGATGGAGCAAAGGGCCATGAGCTGAGAAGGGTGGGCAGCGTCTAAAATTTGAGAGCAAACCTCAGCTGACAGTGAACAAGGAAACAGAGACTTCAGTCCTGTAGTTGCAAGGAACTGAATTCTGCCAAAAATGCAGATAAGAAAACAAAAACAAAAAAACAGATTCTCCCCTACAGCTACCAGAAAGTAACTTTACCTTGCCAGCACCTAAATGTTAGCCCAGTAATACCTGTGCTGGGATTCTGAAATACAGAACTATAAGATAATGAATTTGTGTTATGTTAAGGTGTTTAAAATTTGTGATAATTTCTTATGACATTAATAGAAAACTAATAATCTCCAAACCATTAATTTACTATAATTATATTTCTTATTATTTGCTTACTCTAGGCTTATTATGTGAGCAGCACCAGCAAGGGACTTCCATATAAGTTGTACCTTTACAAAATTCTGTGTTTTGATGTTATTATGTCCATTTTACAGATAAGAAAACAAATCTAGAGAGGAAAAGTAACTTTCTAAAAGCAACACAACTAGTGAACTCCATGACTAGTACTCAAAAATAGGGCTTGAAATCAGATTGTTTGAAATCACTGTGACATATTTATATATTTATGTGCATGTATGCCCACACACACCTCCATATACCTACTGCATCTCCATAAATGCATTTTAAAATGTCTAAGTAAATAACATAATGCTTCATGGAACATGGATCAGCTATTTTATTACCTATTTGCATAGAAATTTACCTTGCAATAAATGTTTAAAGAAATGCAAATTTCCTTGCTTATTCCTTTAAACATATTTGCCCTTAAAAATTAGTAAACATTTTTACTGAGCTTAGAAGATTAAACATTTACTATATAAAATTTAAAGCTATCTCAAATTCAAAGTAATTTTAGTATGTAAATATGATAGGTGCATTTGATTATATGTAACATGACTCAAAATTAAATGAAGTTTGACATTCAGTAATAAACTGTGAATAAAAGTATTTATGGATCAAAAAGTCATACAAATAACAGAGGGAATTAAACAAACTTCACATGCACATACACTCAGTTTGGATCTTAAACAAATGTTGCATTAATATTTGTTACCTAATTTTTTTAAGTTTATATTTGATATGGTTAGGCTTTGTGACCCCACCCAAATCTTATCTTGAATTATAATCCCCGAAATCTTCAGGAGTTGAGGAAGGAGCCTGTTGGGAGATAACTGGATCATGGGGATGGTTTCCCTCATGCTGTTCTCATGACAGTGAGTTATCACAAGATCTGATGGTTTTATAAGTGTTTGGCAAGTTCTTCCTTCACTACTTTTCTCTCTCCTGCCACCATGTGAGAAGGTGTAAGCTTGCTTCCCCTTTGCCTTGTGCCGTGATTGTGAGTTTCCTGAGGCCTCCTCACCGAAGTGGAACTATGAGTCAATTAAAACTCTTTATTTTATAAATTACCCAGTCTTGGGCAGTATTTTTATAGCAGTGTGAGAATGGACCAATACAGTATTCCTATTATACAGCATCACTTCCATCATTCCCCACTTCCCCTCAAAGGAAACTATGGTATGACTTATGCTAGCAGGACTGTCCATGTAGTGAAGTCTTGAGAACCAGATTGGAAGCAAACACTTACTTCTTGATGTGGAGTGAAACATCATAGTGCAGGAGTGAACTGTGTCCTTCTGTGGGAACAGAGATGACTTCCAAACATGAGGACATAGGTTAGGAAGATGTAGTAAATAATTATTTTTTTAAAAGGACAAGATAAATAAATGCTAATCAGTTTGATAGGAAAGAGTGTGAATGAGATATTGCAATTTAGGTAGAGTAGTCAGAGAATGCACCAGAATGATGATGAAATAGTCATATCAAGAACAAGGCTGTAAGTCTCATATGTAAAGATAAAGATATGTAATCATCCTAATGCATAAATGGAAAATGTGGCTGGAAGTGAGTAAAAGAGTTAAGTAGGGAGGGTAACAAAAAGTTGATGTTAGGGACGAAGTAGGCAAAGACCAGACAGTAGAAACTTGTGAACCATGGTAAACAGTTTGGATTTTATTCTGAATTTAATAGGTAGTTATCAGAAAAGTTTTTTGTTTGTTTGTGTTTTGACACAGAGTCTCTCTCTGTCACCCAGCCTGGAGTGCAGTGGAGCGATCTCAGCTCACTGCAAACTCTGCCTCCTGGGTTCGAGGGATTCTCCTGCCTCAGCCTCCCAAGTAGCTGAAATTACAGGCACTTGCCACCATGCCCATCTAATTTTTGTATTTTCAGTAGAAACAGGGTTTCACCATGTTAGCCAGGCTGGTCTCAAACTCCTGACCTTAAGTTATCCACCCACCTTGGCCTCCCAAAGTACTGGGATTACAAGCATGAGCCTGGCTGGAAATTTTTTTTTTAATATGTATTTTATTTACATTATCTGATTATATTGGAAGATATATCTGACATTTTTAGAAGATGCAATATGGAGAGTAGTAGATCATAAGGAGTCCAGAACAGAAGTGGAAGACCTTCCCTGCTATTGCAGGGGTCAGGGCAGATGATGCTGGTTAGGTTAAAGGATGAAGATAGGACCTGCTAATGGATTACACAGTAGGTGTGAGAAAAAGAGGCAAATTAGGAATGACATTTTTTTAGCCTTGACTAATAAGCTGGATAGTGCCATTTGGTTATTTGAAATTTACTGTGTTTGGAAACAGACACTTAAAAGATATCCATAGTACTGGCTTTAAAGCAAAATTCCTACCTAAGGCAGAGTGATGCACTGCAAAGGGAGAATGTTAATAAGTGCTACTGTCTCCACCTGCAGTAAGAAGAAATCTGAGATGGTCCCCATGACTTCCATCCACAGCACACACACCCTATATAATTCCCTCCTCTTCAGTGTGGCTGAGACCATTGAGTATGATGGGATATCACTTCCATAATAGGTTGCTAACCACTTAACTTTGAGGGTGGCCCTGACATAACCATGTGAGATATTCAGAACACAGTGATATGGTTTGGCTCTGGGTCCCCACCCAAATCTCTTGAATTGTAATCCCCATGTTGAGGGAAGGACCTGGTAGGAGGTAATTGGATCATGCGGGCAGTTTTTCTCATGCTGTTTTTCTGATAGGGAGCAAGTTCTAATGAGATCTGAGTGACATCAAGGAAGTGGTGACACTTCCTTGCTTACACTCTCTCCTGCAGCCATGTGACACACGCCTTGCTCCCCGTTTGCCTTCCGCTATGATTGTTTCCTGAGGCCTTCCCAGCTAGGCAGGACTCTGAGTCCATTAAACCTCCTTTCTTTATAAACTATCATATTTCAGGTAGTATGAATACTACAGCAGTGTGAGAATGGGCTAATACAGACGGTGAAGTATCATCGAGATTCTTTCTGGCAGGCCTAAACCAAATAGCCATGTACTTTGTAAACTGTCTACACTGGAGGCCACATGACTATGACCTGGAGGAAGCATCTAGAAGCCTCTGAGGGGACCGCTGGCCAAAACTCATCAAGAAAATAGGGATCTTAGTCCTACAAACACAAGACACTGAATTCTGCCAACCATCTAAATGAAATCAGATGAGAACTCTGATCTCCAGATGAGAAAAGAGCCTCAGCTGACCCTTTAATTTCAATTTTATGAGGTCCTAGAAAGACAACCCAATTATGCTACCCCTGGACTTTCTGATCTACAGAAGCCATGAGATAATAATTTTGTGTTATTTTAAACTGTTACATTTTCAGTAATTCATTATAACATCAAAAGAACACCAGTGTGTGTTTTGGTACTTAGAAGTGGAGTGGTGTTGATACCAAAATTTGGGATCACTTAAAATTTGGGAACAGCTTTTAAATCGGGCAGTGAGTGACGGCTGCAATAATTTTGAGTAGCATACTAAGATAAAATCTAAATTGTCTTGAACAAACTGCTAATAGAAATTAGGATTTTAAGGATGATGCTTACGAGAGCTAAAAGCAGAATCTGCAACCCAAAGGAAAGGACGTCCTTCTCATACAGTGGCAGAAGCCCTGGTGAAACTATACGATGTTGATAGCAGAATTTTGAAGTGATGAACTTAGGTAGGGACATTTCCAATCATAGTGTTAAGGGTGCTGCCTGGTTTCCTCTTGCTACTTATAATAAAATCATGAAGAGAGAGAGAAATTGAGGGAAGAAATGTTAAACAAAGAGGGACAAGGAATAGATGATTTTGAAATTTTCAAGCTTTCTGGAGGGTGAAAGATTCTAAAATTCTCATATGGCTGCCAGAAACTTGGCATGGAGAAGAAGCTGTTGTGTCACTGTATGACCTTTGCTAAAACATCAAACAAATCAAAGGTCAAAACAATCAATAACACAAAGGGTCTTTGCAAGGTACTAAGGATATCCCTCACAGATCCTCTCAAACAAACAAGTGGCCCTTTATGAGACTTTAGTGTATTGTCCCTCAGTCATCTCAGTGGAAGCCAAAGATGGAGAATAAATTATCTCAAAAATCTTATGGGATATGCCTTTGACTACTGAAGTGAAACCAGTGAAATTCACACAAGATCTACAAAGTTTTTGAGAACATTGTTTTAGCAGAAATAATCTTGGCTTAGACTGAAAATACTAAGAGAAGATGAAGTTAAAGTAGGCTCTTGGATCCCCAAATTCTAACAACAGAAGGCTAATGAAACTCTTCAGCAGCAAACACATGCTGCTTCTTTAATAAAGAAAGGAAGAATGGATCCAAGAGCCTAGAGGACGAAGTCAAAAGCTATGGGTGATTACTCCCAGTCCTTGAAACCTAATAAAAAATTCTAAAGCTGTTTTCCTGTGTGGATTTCAGAACTAGTTTGGACTAATCACTCTTTCTCGTCTTCCTTTGCCTGCTTTTTCTTTTTCTTTCTTTTTTTTTTTTTTGTTTTTCTTTTTGTTTTCTTTTTTATTATTTTATATATATTTATTTATTTATTATACTTTAAGTTCTAAGGTACATGTGCACAGTTTTGCTATTGTCACCCAGGCTGGAATGCCGTGGCGTGATCTCTGCTCACCGCAACCTCCGCCTCCCGGGTACAAGCGATTCTCCAGCCTCAGCCTCCTGAGTAGCTGGGATTCCAGGCACCTGCCACCATGCCCGGCTAATTTTTTGTATTTTTAGTAGAGATGGGGTTTCACTATGTTGGCCAGGCTGGTCTCAAACTCCTGACCTCAGCTGATCCACCCACCTCGGCCTCCCAAAGTGCTGGGATTACAGGCATGAGCCACTGTGCCCGGCCGCTTTGCCTGCTTTTCCAAGCTCAAATGTGTTTAACTATTATACAATGCCTACTCCTCTACTGTATGTCAGGAGTGTTGGGGGGAGATACCTTACGTCTTTAGGTTCACATGTCCACAGGTAGGGAGGAATTGTGCCCAAGAACTGTATTTAATGAATTACACACAGTAGCCTCATTCACACCTACTTTAGATAATGAGAAATTTAGACTTTCAGCTGATAATATAATAGAATGAGACTCTTTGTAATGCTTGGAGAGGGTGAATAACATTTGCTTGTGTGAGGGATATGAATTATCAGGGTCCAGGAAGTAGACTGTGGCAGGCAGAATACTAAGATGACTCTTCCCTGCTATGGTTGAACAATTATGCCCCTCACAAATTTATATGTTGAAAACTTAATTACTAATTTGATGATATTACAAGGTGGGTTTTGTTAGGGGTTTACTAGGTCATGAGGGCAGGCCTCATGAATGGGATTAGTACCATCCCAACACTTCAGGAGGCCGAGGCGGGCGGATCACGAGGTCAAGAGATTGAGACCATCCTGGCCAACATGGTGAAACTCCATCTCTACTAAAAATACAAAATTTAACTGGGTGTAGTGGCACACACCTGTAGTCCTAGCTATTCGGGAAGCTGAGGCAGGAGAATCACTTGAACCTGGGAGGTGGAGGTTGCAGTGAGCCGAGATCATGCCACTTCACTCCAGCCTCGCAATAGAGTGAAACTCCATCTCAAAAAAAAAAAAAAAAAAAAAAAAAGCCCAAAGAACTGCCTTGCCTGCTCCACCATGTGCGGACACAGTGAAAAGGTGCCATCTATGAGATATCACGTCTGCTGGTGTCTTGATCTTGGACTTCTCAGCCTTGAGAACTGCAAGAAATAGATTGCTGTTGTTTATAAGTTACTCAATTTATGGTATTTTCTTATACCAACGTGAATAAACTAGGACAGCCCCCAGTGTCTCCATCCCTCATGGACAAGGTCTGTATGTCCTCTCCTGAGTGTGAGGAGCACCAGTGAAAATGAAGAAATAACACCCCAATTTGTATGTTATATAATATGCGAAAAGGGTTTTTTTTAGAGACATAAGTAAGATCCCTAAACAGTTGGCTTTGAGTTACTCAAAAGGGAGATTATCCTGAATGGATCTGAGCTCCATTAAAAGAATCAGGTGAGCTCCTGAAAAGAAGATGAAGCATCATTGAGATCCTTTTCTGCTAGCCCGAACATAAACAAATAGCCATGTTATTAACTGCCCATGGAGGAGATACATAGCCAGGGCCTAGTGCCAGCCTCTACAAGTGGGAAGAAATTCTTTGCTGACAGCCAGAAAGAAGACAGGAATTTCATTCCTACACCTAAAAAGAACTGGATGCTGGGGAAGGGGCCAGTGGACTGGTGGATTGGAAGAATATGCTGAGCTCCACTTGAACTCAGCCATGGCTGGTACTTTGCTTTCAGTTTTGTGAGACCCTGAGCAGAGAACCCAGTTCCTAGTTATCCCAATTTTGGACTTCAGACCTATAGAGAGTGTGAGATGGTGAATTTGTGTTGTTTTAAGCACTAAGTTCATGCTCATCTGTTACACAGCAATTGAAAACTAATACAACACCAATGCACGTTTTGAATGGGAATTGCCAGTTCCCTGAGTGTCCACATTGTGGGCTATTGACCCACACTGGGCCATCACTAGACTTGATTGCTGATGGCAATCATCAGGCTGCATGGCATCTTTTACTTAGATTGAAATTCATGTGTCTTTTTTTTTTTTTCTGAGACAGAGTCTTGCTCTGTTGCCCAGGCTGGAGTGCAATGGCACGATCTTGGCTCACTGCAACCTCCGCCTCCTGAGTTCAAGCAATTTTCCTGCCTCAGCCCCCTGAGTAGCTGGGATTACCGGCGTGCACCACCACACCTGGCTAATTTTTGGATTTTTATTAGAGATAGGGTTTTGCCATGTTGGCCAGGCTGGTCTTGAACTCCTGACCTCAGGAGTTCCACCCGCCTCGGTCTCCCAAAGTGCTGCGATTACAGGTGTAAGCCACCACACACAGCTTGAAATACATGTGTCTTTTCTATCTGGATCAACCATATGAGCCTGAAGCTTCCTTTGGCCATGTTTCCTGCTGGATGAACAAAATTCTCACAGAGGAAGAATAAATGGCATCAGTGGCCACGGGGAAGCATGAATAAATGATCATAGCGAGTATGAAGGCCGATGGTGTCTGGGTTGCTGTTCAAACTCCACGTTTCACCACAGAGAAAATGTGAGTTTCCCTGAATCATAAGTTCTCATGAAAGCTACCCTGATATATATCCATTAAATTCAAATTGGGCCTCTGTTACTTGAAACCAAAAGTGCTCTCACTCATACAACTCAAACTAAATATTATATAAATTGTTTATTAATGACCATGAAAACCTACACAGCAAGCAGTCTCAGTGTTTACCTTTTTAAAAATTTCTTACATTTATTTATTTGCCAGATGTTCAAAACCTTCTTCTTCAGTAAGAATTTAATTCTTCAATCTCCTCCTCTTTTATACCTAAGTTGTTTTCTTCCCTGAAAAATCTTCCTGTATCATTAAACTGTCTTTTACCTGCCCTTTTTTTCTTCTGTTTCTAGGGAAGATTCCAGTGTTCTAGTGAAGACTGTTTTCAGACTAATCACATCGCCGTTATCCATTAGAATAAATGACTTCTATTGCCTCTGGGGCCGCCAGTCTCATTCACTCCTCTATTTCACCCGTTTTCAAGCTTTCTCATTCCACTCGCATTTCCTTTCTGTCCCAGAATATCCTCAGATCTTTTGTACGCCTTGCATCAATTCTTTAAAGCCACATCTGTCTCTCTTCTCTTTATTGCAGTCACTTCTATCAAATTATCTTCTCTCGCTACTTATTTTCTCAATGCATATTCCTATCTGTATCAATTAGAGTCCAGTCAGGCAACCATATCTATCAAGTTATTGGAAGGAGAGAATTTGATATAAAAAAATCTTACCCCAATGTATAAAAGTGTTACTAAAGGATAAACAAAAAACTGATGTAGCTTGGAAATTATTGCTGCGGGAAGCAACTGTCATTCCTAGGGCTGAAGGAAGATTCTGGAAATATTAAATCTTAAAAACGTAGGAAGTTACTCAGATCTCTGCAGAGACTAAAGTAAGACCCCTGAGGAAGGAACGCCAGTTCAGCTGGTACTGGTGTATCTGAGTTTGGGAAGGGTCCTGAGGAAGGCAGCACTGTTTAGATGGCTCCTGAGAGGCAGCTGCCATGAAGCTGGTGGGGCACATTTGGGAAAAACTGGTAAATGGATTCAGCTTCTGCCACAAAATGAGTCACCTGCTGAAGGTGTGAGAAGACCCTATTGGAGTGAGGCTCACAGGAATTACAAGCCCAGGAGAAGCCCCCAGTGAGCAGACAGGAAGAAGCAAGCTCCCTTTCCTCTCCCAGCCACACAACCTCCTTTCAAGGCCCCGCGTGGGCAAATTTGTGGTGTTCAGGATCCCAGTTCTACCATCACAAAGCCAATCTAGAAGGCCGAGTTGGGTGCTGAACGACCATAGCTTAAATCTATTGCATTTTAGCTTTGGTGCTTATACTTCTGTAACAATACCTTTTTAATTATGTTTATTATTTTAAGAGATCGCATAAACTCACATAGTCTAAAACCAGTGACATCTTACCTGAATTTTTTTCTTATGTGACTACTGATATTGAATGAGTCCATAATTGTCCTCTCTGATACTTGACTCTTGGTTTTTCTAGTATATACCTAGGTATTAGCTCTCTAGGTTCATAATTGATTTACCATTGTCTTTTACAACTTTAATGTATAATATATACTTATTCTTTCAACAAATATTAATATTAACAAACATTAATTCAAAGTCTATCATGGACTAGCCGCTGTGCTATTTGACACATAGAAAATGATCAAGATTAATATAGTTCTGTCCTTGTGGGTTTTATCTGAAAAAAATATATCAATCATTTTTCAATGATTATATTCAATGAGGACTGAAAAGCTAAAGCATAGTGCCGGTTGAGAAATGGTAGACACACACATATAAATATGCATGTCTATATAGACATATTTCTACATGTGTCTATATAGACATATATAAGTATGTGTATATTTACAAATAGATGTTTATTTACATATATTTCAGGACAGCCTTTGTGAATGTGCATAGGAGCAGGTTGTAACAAAATTATCTGACTTACATTTGAGGAATAGGCAGGGCTTTCCTGAAGCAATTTTATTTCTAACTTCAAGAGCTAACTCGATAAAACAGTGTATGGAATTAGGAAGTTTCCAAGAAAATGGGAGAAACACTGAGAAAGGCATTAAGCAGGAAGGAACTTACTTTGAGGAATAGAAAGAAAGTTAGCAGAGGTGATAAATGTATACAAGTGATAACTTCCACAAAATTATTTTATTATCTCTCTGTTGTGTCTATAGTATAATACGGAAGAGTACAGTATAATGTTCTTTCTATAGCATACCACATACACACTTACAGATGTATATACATATATACATGTAAACATGTGTACATACATATATACAGTGGGGGATTGGTTTCAGAACCCCCCTCAGATACAAGAATCCATAGATGCTCAGGTCCCTTATGTGAAATGATATTATATTTTATATAAGCTATACACATCTTCCCATATATTTGAAATCACATATAGGTTACTGTTAATACCTAATACAATTTAAATGCTATATAAATAGTTGTTATACCATATTGTTTACGGAATAACTATGACAAGGAAAAAACTTGTATGTGTTCAGTACAGGCACAACTATTCATTTTTTTTGAATATTGTTAATAAATAGTTTGTTGAATCCATAAATATAGAACCCAGGGACATCAAGGGCTGACTACACACACACACACACACACACACACACACACACACAATACACACACACACCACACACACACAATATACACACACTACACACACACACTACACACACTACACACACACTACACACACTACACACACAATACACACACACAATACACACACACTACACACACACACCACACACACAATACACACACACTACACACACTACACACACACACTACACACACTACACACACACTACACACACTACACACACACTACACACACACACTACACACACACTACACACACACAATACACACACACACTACACACACACACATACACATGCACACCAATAGAAATATGTCTAGACATGTATGTATATACACATATGTCTAGTTTTAGACATCAGGTACTTAAGAAATGTGTTCTATTTTGGTAATGTAACATCTTATTCTTGACTGGGGAGGAAAACAATTGACTTAATTAAATAAATTTACCAATATTCAGACTAAAGTTTCACTATTTGTCAACTGTCTGTATACACTCTGATGTTTTAGGAGCTTAGTTTCAGTGATTTTTGTTGTTGTTGTTGTTGTTTTTCAATTTTATACCTTCCCTTGATGTATTTTATTCCTTACTTTGATCATCCTTGATTTTCTGTTACAACATTCCAAGAAGACACAAAAACCTATTGTATCTGGTCAATTAATTAAAGATACACAATTCATTTTAGTAACCTCTCTGTTTATTCCTGATCATACATTTATTTTAGCATTTTCAGGTTTCTATGGTCCTTTAATTTAGAAATAATCTTATAAGTATTTTTTCCTGTAAGAGAAAATAGCAAATACATTTCTCAGCATATAGTAAAGAATTTAACCTTGCCCAGAGGGTGGTCTGGCCTTTGCCCTCAGCTCCTGGGAAGTGATTGCTAAGCTCTGGAAATGTTCTGCCTGATAAGAGTGTCTTTGTTCTTGGGCCATGCCATATAATCTAGGGCTTTGAGTGGCCGGGTATCAGCTTAATACCTTCAGAGGATCTGGGGACTAGGGTGGATCATGTGGGCAGGGGATCATGTCTGTGTGACAGAGCCCCGTAAAGACCCTGGACACCAAGTCTTGAGAGGGTGTCTTTGGTTGACAATGCCCTATAAATGTTCATTGCTAGGAGAAGTTAATAGTGTCCATGACTATAAGAAAAAGCAAACCTGGATGTTTCATTTTTGAAATTCTCTTGGATTCTGCCCCACATACCTTGTCTTTGGCTGATTTTGATCTGTCTACTTCCATTGTAACAAACTGTAACTGTGAATATAGCAACTTTTAGTGAATTCTGTGAGTCTTTCTAGAAAATTACCAAAACTGAGGTGGAGTGGGAACTTCTCAAACTTGCTAGGGTGTCAGAAAAGGAATCATCTTGGTGACTGTTTCCTAATTCACCCTCAGTAGATTAAAAAAAAATTGCAAATAATTTAAACACAGAAAAAATCATTGAAAGTAGTCATATTTTAGAGTGGCAATATTTTAATCTTGATAATTACAAAGGAATTAAGGAGGATATTATGTATATCTTATTGATGTAATTTCAAATATTATTTTTCTTTTTGAATTATTGAACTGTAACTCTAAAAAATGATTACTATTGATACATCCTCCAAAATTTTTCCAGACAGTTAATATTTCTAATATTGTGCATCAAAGGTACAAAATCAAAGATGAAATAAATGAGAATATAAGTCATTGCACTGAAAATCATGATGTGTGAATGTTAGACCTAACTCTTCTACACAAAAACTCACAAGGCCTTCAGCATATCACTTAAGCTTTTTACCCCTCTTCTAATTTTTGAGGAGAGAGTGAGTATGCAACAATGTAAGAAGTGAGAAACTATTTTCTTCAGGGACATTTTTATTCCAGAGCCTTTATTCTATAAATTTGTCTTTTTATATCATATTAAATTATGTAGAAAAACATTAAGTAGAAAAGACCGATTATTATAAAATTGTGGAAAGAAATTGGTAGTTGCCTATATAACATTAAATGACTCAAAAGTACTTAATAATGCTTAATTTGTTCTTCATGTAGAAATATCCATTGCATATTAAGAATTTCTTTTTCTAAGGCCAGGCGCAGCAGCTCACGCCTGTAATCCCAGCACTTTGGGAGGCAAAGGCAGGTAGGCACTTGAGGTTAGGAGTTGGAGAACAGCCTGGCCAAGATAGCGAAACCCTGTGTCTATTAAAAAGTATAAAAAATAACCTGTAATCCCAACTACTCAGGAAGCTGAGGCAGGAGAATCACTTGAACCCGCAAGGCGGATGCTGCAGCGAGCGGAGATCGCGCCACTGCACTTCAGCTTCGGTGACAGAGTGACACTCAGTCTCAAAAAAAAAAAAAATCTCTTTTTCTGAGTCAGAAAATCATTTATCTTCAAGCACTTTTACAAAATTTCACCCAGTTTATATAGTCTGTTTGTAGGTGTTAATTTACTACTACAGTCTTCCCTTGATGTTTTGTTCACTACTAATGGGAAATGTTTTTCAATTTTTTTTCTAGTAACAGGACAGATGTCAATTCCATTACCACATAGTATAGACTGCTCCTCTCTCAGACTTTAGAAATCAATGACTCATCTTTATTAGTCCTGCTCATCAGAATAGAGAGAAATTAGATAATCCAGTTTACAATGGCTACTGAATATTAGTGCTGTGAATGGAGATTGCTTTTAAACAAAATTCCTTATTCTGTTCGTTAGCAAAGCCACATCCTGAGGCTAACTACAGCATTCTGTAGCTGAACCCAGTCATGATCTTGCCAAAACTCTGAAGGAGCATAAGAATGGCCAATTCTAATTATTGGTTTCCCTATTAATCTATTACATGCATTATAACGACCATCCATTGGCACTTAGGTTTCAACGCATAAGTCTCCTTTACATACCCCAGTCTGCAGAATGTGGTGTTCTGAATCTGAATTCCGGTTCTAATAGCCTGTAAAGCTCCATAGTCTTTTTACAGGACTGGCTTCCTATACTGGTTTTTTCTAGTTCATTCTCTGGAAATTGAAGTTCATTCCCTAAATACTAACTTGCAACAAAGACAGCTTTCCTGCATTGATCATTATATCTTTTTATGTTCTACTTTCCTAATGGAACATCATTATTTTGTTTCAGGTTCCTTAATATTGAACATTTTCATGTATTATGACTACAAAACTTTGGGTTCTCTGTTGTAATTTGCTTACCAAACATAACTTACCTTTGCCACCTGAAATCTAAATAGTTTCACTAGAATTTTTCCTGTTCTTTTTGGCAGGTTATCCCAATACATGTTAGGACACTGTTAACCACCTATCCCTTATATAGATTAACTGCCATATATAACTGATACATAATGAGTTGTGGCTACACTTCATTAAATGTGCTAGTCAGTCTGTAAGTCACAATAATAAAATTTAATACCCTTTACAGTACTCAATAAAGTCTATGACTATATTATATTATAATAAGTTTTTAGGAACTTCGTTACTTTGATTTCATTTTCTGCAGTGCCGATCAGTTTGAAATCTCAATTCTCCTAGAAATAACTGAAAATTCAATTAAAGGCATTGGATTTAACTACATCAAAACCAACAGAAGTTCTAATACTTATACTGAAACACAGGAAAAAATGAATCAGAAAAGATATAATTCTTATATAAAGAGATATGAATCTCTGAAGCATCAAAGAAAAGTTAGATGATGAATTAGTGTGGCTAAGGTAAGAGGAGAAAGTTTGAATAGGAAGATACCAATAAAAAGAGATAAGCTGCTATCCTTCCTCACTGGCAAACATGTTTCAGCAAGGTTGATGCTGAATACAGCACAAACAAACAAAATGCTCTCCATCAGAGGCAGATTCTTCCTCATTCTTAATGAAAATGTCCCTGAGTATATGTTTGAAAGCCAAATGTCTGAATGTGTAAAAGTGAGATGACAGAGGGCATGAGAGTTTCCTTTCCAGAAAGCCAATAATTAATTCTAAAATTTAGTGCTTTATTTGTCTTTCCCCAACTTAAGCAAATTCAGCAGGCAGAGGATAAAATGTACAAGAACTCAGATATCATGGAACCAGTGGCAGTTCTCCATTTTGAATCTTCATAATGCTTTATATATCTGGAATAAAATGGGGAAAGTTAAATTTCTTCTCCCATTGGACCAGATTGTCTTACTTTCTTCCTGTATTCGTCTGACCAAAACCAAAGAGAGAAGATTCCTGTGTTCTTGTTAGCCCACAATTCCTGAGATAGTGGGAAGAGACTATACAACCTGTAAGAACCAGATGATGCAGGATAACTAGTGGTAGGAGATTCATAGGAACAAGAGCTCTATAAGCATGATGAAAAAAAGGGGCAGGTAAGATTGAAGGCCAATTTCAGGTAGGACTGAGAGAAAGTCAGCTTGGCAAGGCTTCTCTTCCTTAAATACCATTGTCTAAACCAAGCTTGTCCAACACACAGCCTCTGGGCCACATGCAGCCCAGGATGGCTTTGAATGTGGCCCAACACAAATTTATAAACTTTCTTAAAACATGAGATTTTTTTTTTGCAGTATATATATTTTTACCTCATCAGCTATCATTAGTTTTATCTTATTTCATGTGTGGCCCAAAATGCTTCTTCTTCTAGTGTGGCCCAGGGAAGCCAAAAGACTGGACACCCCTAGACCTTCCTTATATCTCAGCAGAGGCCATTTACCCTATTCTACATAAGAAGACAATGGAACTACCACAGAAGAGCTCCAAATTATCTTTTGAAAACTGAGACATGAAAGGTAAAATTGGACATAAAAATAACATATAATAGCCATCAATAAAAATTTAGATACAACTGTGAAGCAAAGTAGACTGTGTCAAAGTTAAAAACATTAAAATTAAATATCAGGAAATGATATTCAGAGGACACATAATATGAATTTTAGAATTAAAAACAAAAATATAATCATGACATAGCTGGTCAGAAAATAAATAACAAACTGAATAAAGGTAGGAAGAGAGGGTTATAAATAAAAGTCAGCAAGGCAATAAATTTAGAGTAAAGCCATTTTGTCATATAAGAGTAAGTAGGATTTTCACTATCTCGTGAGAATACAGTTTTCTTTAAAACAGAGGGAAAAATTAAAATTGAATTGTATGTGTTTTCATGATGCTTAATATCTAAATAAGTTTTTTTGAATGTTTTTATACATGGGGATCATGATTAGAATGGGAAAGCCCAAGTTTGGAGCTGCTATGAGATATTGTAATAATTTAAAATAGAGAAAGAACAAATTGTTAGTTTAATTCTCTATTTGTATTAACAACGTAGTAACATCAAATTTATCTAGAAGTTATACTATAAAGTGCAGCTCTGGGTTATGAAATAAAACCAAGATAAGACTGCAAAAACCAAGACATGAATGTAATAAAAAAGGAGGAAAAAGTGAAAAAGTAAGAACTCTGAACAAAGTAAATGACTGACAGAATGTCAGCTTTAATACCATTCATGTTGAACTCTATGAAACGTTCTTGTATTTGTAGAGGACTAGATGCAATTTCAAAACACTTATTTATTAACCTATTACAGGTGAGTCACTGCAAACTAAGAGGGAAATAAAGGCTATTGGAGGCTATTTAGACAAAAATGACAAAAACATAAGAAAAAAAAGATTTAACAGTGAAAACAGAAAATCAGAAAGTAGACCAAGAGTTCTACTATTGAAAAACGAATATACCAATGTTACTTTCTATCTCATAATCCCTCACTTATTAGATGTATACATGTGTACATATTTGTTAGTATACTTAGCTCTCTCTATATATCTATGCTAACTTTTTGAACTTTGCATTCAAAATAATGAATGGTTATACCCCCGCACCCAGATCTTGGGTTCTAATAGCATTTTCCAATAAAAGGAATCTAGAGTCAACAGGAAAAAAAATGAGTGATTTTAGAGCTAAGACAGAGAAGCATGCAAGATGATCCTGCAGCATCCTGGAGTGCCAGAAAGGAAGAAAATGTTCAAAAAACAAACTCTAGAGGCATGTAAAAGTGACAAAGGTGTCAGTCTGAAGCAACTCCCAATGACCAAAACCTGGAACAATTTGAGAAACAAAATAATATGGCATTCAATTATGATCCAATGAATAAAATAAACATTTATGAGTCTATGCTTATACAAATAAATTATAAAATAAATGGGGCAGGATAGAAAAATTTCCAATGCAGAAAGTTTCCACTCCATTGAAGAAAAGCATTTTTCTTGCATCCTCAAGCATGACTGTACATAGTGACTTCCTATTAAGGAGTATGCTATGTAAAAGGGGATGAGAGAGAAAGTAACCTCATAGTGGAGAAACCTGACAAACATTCCCTAATGAGGGGGTCAAAGTTAACATCAACAGCGATAAAGCATGTTGATAGCATATACCCTAATATGACGTCCGGAGAAGGGCACTTTACCTCTGTGGACTTCCTCCTAAAAAAAACCATCACCACTATCTAACCATGAGAAAAACATCAAACAATTCCCAATCGAAGACATTCTACAATATACTTTACCAGAACTCCTGAAAATTGTCAAGGTCATCAAAAAATAAGAAAAATTTCAGGAACTATCTCAACAAAGAGGAATCTAAGGAGATGTGTAAATGTAATGTAGTAACCTAGATGGGATTTTGGAACAGAGGAAGAAATGAGGAGAAAAATGGGAAAATATAATGTATTGACTTTATTTAATAAAAATATATAAATATCAGTTCATTAATTGTGAGACATTAACCAAAAGAATGTTAAGAATAGGGGAACCTTGGTGTGGCAAATGTAGGAACTCTAAAATTATTGCAATACTCTTGTAAAACTAAAACTGTTCTTTGAAATTTCCTAAATGTTTAAATATTACATAAAATACAAGAAAAAAATGGTTAAAATTAATGAAATAAATTCTTATATTCCATTAGATAAAGAGCAAAGGCCACATTCTGCAAGTGTCTGTGGTGCTCATTATCATATAACACACACAATGCGAGTTAAAGAGATGTCTTGAAGAAAGTAATACCAGAATTAGAATGTCAGCTACACTAGGTAAGTCTCTTGGCTCATAAACAACAGAACATCGATTCAAGATACCTTAAGAAAAATGTCGAATGAATTGGATGGAATAATCAAACCACAGCAAGAACAAGAATGGACTGGCCTTAGGAATTTTTATAATCAGTCATTTGAATAGCATCTACACTTAATCTCTCACTTCTGTTGTTTTCAACATACAAACCTTACAATTTTAGTTAATCATTTTCTTTGACTGTTGTTGGTATGTTCCTGTACAAAGCAACAGAGCTCCAGAAAAAAAAAAAAGAACTTTTATTTGCAGGGCTGATTTGCCTGAAAGTTCAAAGCTTTTAGGCAAGAACTCTGATTGGCAAGTCTTGGGTAATAAGTCCAGCAGAGCCACTCACTGTGTCCAGAGTGGTGAACCTGTGTCTACACGTCAGTCTGTCACTGCAGCCGGGGAAGCAAAGTCATGAAAGGGCAAGCAGCTTCTATTCAGACAACATGACAATAGTGGAGGGAGAAAGACACAGAGGGACGGTTTTCCTAAGGAAGCTGGTGGCCGCACAGATAAACGGCTATAACAGGCAAAAACGTTTAACCAGAGAGCCAAAATAGGTAACATTTATACTAGGAATTTTGTATAATTTACTATATGTATTATTTTTCCCCAAATGCCAGAAAGTTCAGGGTAAAATTTGAAAATTACACTTGGCTTTCCTATAGGTTTTATATTTATGCTTCCTATTCAAAATGTTACCTGGTTGGTAATGCATAATAGCTAGAGTCTCCCTAGTCTGTACACTTTCCAATCTGTCTCTCAGACTTTTTTTAACCTGATTTTGTAAGCATTTAAGTTATTTTTTTAATAAGCCGTTTTGGCTGATTTTTAGAATTAGTAAATCTATGTTGAGATTCTCCAAGAAGCAGATACCAAGACACTATAAGATTGACAAGGGACCTGTGAAGGAAAATGCCTATGAAAGAAAGAGGGGAGGAAACAGGAATTGGAAGAAAGAGCCTTCAGACTGCAAGGCAAGACTGGCCTGTTACAGCACAGGGCAAGCAAGGAGGATTGCTTAGATGGTCTCATCACAGTTTTAAGAAAGTCCCTGTCCAGGCAGTGGGGACTACATAGCCAGTGTTGGCCTGTTAGCATAGATGAGCTCTAGGAACAGGACAGCACTAGCACCTCAAACACACCCAGGCACTGAGTGGGAATAATCTGGGGAAGTGGGATATCAGCAGAAATGGGGTCCTTGATCTCCAGGGACAGCAGCTGGAGCTGTCAGTCAACCACACTCCATCCCCCATGAGATCTGAGTAGCACATTTTTATAGCTGTCTCCAGGAGGGACAAGAATTATAAACAAGTAATATATGGACTCCAAATTTAATAATAATATCACTAAATGTCATCAAGCAAAGGGCAAAGGTAAATGTCAATGCATCCTTGCCTCAGAGGACCAGCTAGGAATCCTGCAGAGGGATGAGCAGAGGCAGAGGATGGTGCTTTCATAGGAACAGAGCTGAGACCTCAGTGGGGTTGGGCTCCAGCCTGGCCAACAGGTGGCAAAAGATTTAAGTCTGTGTTCCAGCTATTAAAGTGGGTTTCTAGCACCTGGGAACCTCAGAGAAAGCAAAAGTAAACAGTGACCCTCCCTGCTCTGGTTTGGAGAAGTCTCCTCTCACCCTGGAGGTAGCACTAGATAGCCAGTCACAGAGTCCCTGAGCTATTCACCTGGACACCCTCTTTTTGTTTCTCATGTGTGATCTTTTGCAAGGCTTAAACCATGGAATTGCAACAAATAGAAGAACGTATAATACTCTCACAACAGCCAATGTCAATCCAGAGCTTGATAGAAAGTGAGCCTCTGAGAGCTTCTGAATGGGCTCTGAGGATGGAGCATAGATGATATAATGAAGTACTGTTGGGCTCATGTTCATAGCTGATAATGCCCTCCCAGGGAACAGACCATCCATTTTCAACATCCCATTATCAAGCAGCAGGTTAGGTGATTTTTAAATGTGAGCTTCTTAATAGCCAGATTATGATATGCCTACAGGTTTGAGGAGTGGGAGGCAGGAGGCAGGAATGAATGATTAGACTAGTGCCAGCGAGAAGGACAAAGCTCCAATTCTTCTGTTCAGCGCTGGAGTCTACACAACAAAGAATGATAGCAGCAGGCAGTGTGCGCCTTGCAGGCATGTGTTGACATCCTAATAAAAAATAAAATTCTGATTTTCATTCTAGTTCTGCAAATCATCTTTTTATGGCCCTGTGTTTTTCAAAAAGGAGGGAAAATGCAGGAGAGGAGTGGGGGTGGGGGTGGTTTGTTTCTTTTGATACCTGAAGACAGAATGATACAACAGAGCCATTTCAGAAGGAGCAAATAAATATACAGTAGAGACAGCAGGTGGTATCACATCTGTCAAATTAACTTTGTCCAAATAAATATTTTCTCTACAATCCCCAGCTGTGTGGAAAAGTAGAAACCTACGAGAGTCTCCCCATGATGACATTTAAAAGAAAGATGTTATTGGTGGTGCCTTGAGATAAAGCAATAAGTTTATGGTTGAGTGTTAGGGAATTTTCCTTTGTTTTTTTTCTCCTTCATTTCTGCTACAGCATATGTTTTGATCTTTTTTTACTCTTTATTATTAAAATTCAATGATGGTAGTTACAGTATAATCAGGATCAATGATGGATAATTACCTCCCTTCTCTGCCTTCCTTGTTGTTATTTCTTAGAAGAGAACAGGGGCAGAGATGTCTTTAGAAAATCAAGTGATAAGATAAATTGCTAAACTAGGAGGAACATTAAAGCTTATATACACAAGCACCCTGTGTAATATCCTCAGAAGAACTTTGTAGATTGTCCACAGTGACAGCCAGGGCTAAATTAATATCTACATATTTCTTGGTTAGTGGGCTTCAGTCCTCTACCAAATACAGGTGTCTTGACATTTTCTGTTAATTTTTTTTATTTCCTTATTATTCTTTCCAGTAACTGCCTCTCTCCCCGAGTACTCTGACTTCTTGCAGTAGCCTGACCAACTTCCCCAGGGAGGCCTAGCTTAAAAGACAGTTATTAAAGAAAACTTTCCCTACTAAGTGTTAGTTAGTTTCTGAAAAATTACCTTAGCTACCTGTGCACATTGAAATGAAATTACCTCAATGATCTGGCACTTGTAATTTACATAAAACAATAGTCTTGGGTGTCTAGAAATAAAATGATAGCAGATGAAGACAGTTGTTTCAGTCTGAGAGAGAAATATTAAGAAATGTGTGTATATGGTAGGTGTAAAGCGGATTCAATGATGCTTTTCCGAGACACCTCTCCAGTCATACAAAACAGGTAGTTGCCTATTTGATCTAAGTCTAAAACCATCCATGATTAGGAAATTTAAAAAAAATACGAAATAGGAATTGAGATTCCCTAAAGTTGGGAAAATCATATTGGTCCAATATCCGGTTTGTGTTTTCTTCTTTAGGTAAGCAAAAATAAAATGTGTAAAAAGAGCTGATTTCTTTTTTTTTTATTATATTGTATTTATTTGCCATCAGATAGGACAAAGAAAAATGAAATTTATTATTTTGGAAAGTAGAAGAGATTTGTGTTTTTGTTTCAGTCGCTTCAAATGTGTCCATTATGGATCTATGCTGTCATTACTGAAATAATTAAGATACCTGTTTTTGAGTAAAACTGTTATATTTGATATTTAGGATACAGTTTCCTCTAGAAATTTAGAAAGATTCCTATATTAAGGAGAAATTTTTGTTCTTTTTTATTTATTTTTTTATTTTTATTTTTTTTATTATACTTTAAGTTTTAGGGTACATGTGCACATTGTGCAGGTTAGTTACGTATGTATACATGTGCCATGCTGGTGCGCTGCACCCACTAACTCATCATCTAGCATTAGGTATATCTCCCAATGCTATCCCTCCCTCCTCCCCCCACCCCACAACAGTCCCCAGAGTGTGATATTCCCCTTCCTGTGTCTATGTGATCTCATTGTTCAATTCCCACCTCTGAGTGAGAATATGCGGTGTTTGGTTTTTTGTTCTTGCGATAGTTTACTGAGAATGATGATTTCCAATTTCATCCATGTCCCTACAAAGGACATGAACTCATCATTTTTTATGGCTGCATAGTATTCCATGGTGTATATGTGCCACATTTTCTTAATCCAGTCTATCATTGTTGGACATTTGGGTTGGTTCCAAGTCTTTGCTATTGTGAATAATGCCGCAATAAACATACGTGTGCATGTGTCTTTATAGCAGCATGATTTATAGTCCTTTGGGTATATACCCAGTAATGGGATGGCTGGGTCAAATGGTATTTCCAGTTCTAGATCCCTGAGGAATCGCCACACTGACTTCCACAATGGTTGAACTAGTTTACAGTCCCACCAACAGTGTAAAAGTGTTCCTATTTCTCCACATCCTCTCCAGCACCTGTTGTTTCCTGACTTTTTAATGATTGCCATTCTAACTGGTGTGAGATGGTATCTCATTGTGGTTTTGATTTGCATTTCTCTGATAGCCAGTGAAGCTGATTTCATACAATTGAGAATTTGGAGAAAATGAGCATTAGTTCTAGAAAACAACATAGAATTGTAATCCTATGCAAGCACACTTTCCATTCCAAAAACTCTCTAATATAATATATTGCATTTAAATAATCATTTCCAGAATATCAAGATGACAATTAGATATGTTTCTGAGAGTCCATTTGTTTATGTGGAAGAAAATCAGCCTTTAATCAAACACAGCCTTTGCACATGGGAAACACTTTGCAGATTTGCTAATTGAATTATATTGAACTAATGAATGTTTTGAGTAAAAAGAGTACCTTGTTAGTGATAAATAAAACAATTTTGGAGGAAGTTTCATTTACAATCCTCTAGTTCTGTATTATCTACCATTTTCTCCTTTTTGTTAAGAAATGAAAACAGATGCAAACTTCCTGTCATCACAAGGATATCACTGCAACCATTAAGGAGTCCAAATGAATGTATGCCTCAGACTAAGTAGGGCTGCATCAGAGAAATACAGGTCAGTAAAGAGGCTCTCTTCCCAAAGGATAACACACAGGCACATGCACATACAAGGTGAATTGTAAAATTTGGCATATAATCCTAGTTGCATACCCTTTGCTCCTAAACCTTCTACAGAGACTAATAAGGTTGCTGAAGATTATGAACGTGTAATAATTGAAACGTTTTTCTTCCCATCAGAAATCTCACTTCTCTTAAAATAATCATAGTATTTTGAGTATACACATTTTTAATTCTTTTCTGTGGAAAAAAATACCAAATATTTTATAAGAAAATCAAATAAAAATATAGTTAAGCTTTTCTTTTAATGTTTCCAACTCCCCAAACTCCAGATCTGCCCTATGTTTTACTCATGAAGATAAAAGAGAAAATTATACTTAAAGTTAATTAAAGGTTCTAAATTATACAAGTTCACTATAGTATGATAGCTTTTGAAATTTTAATTGAGGATAGTATGAATTAAATCATGAGAGAAAAAATGTCTATTCATGGTATTTTTTATTATGCTTATATAAAAGAGAAATGTCAGTATAGGTCAATATATTTGCTTTTTAAAATTAAATGACAGAAATAACTCATCCAAGAAACCAGCAGAAAGAGCAGACTTTTTCACGTTGACACTTATGGCATTTGCAAGTGTGACTGATCGTAATGTGATAAAATGGCTTCCTTCTGTCAGTCTCTATGTGAGAGGTACAATCGGAAATGGTGTGAACATTTTCTCCTATGCTATTTGTGTTTCAATTCAAAATCAGAGAACAATGGAACAGCATTTTCTATGCAGGAAAATGCATTGAAATGTAAAGGGGGATGTAGTCCCTGAGAATCAGTATTATTAGTTGTCTAATGTCCAGCAGATTGAGTGGTTAAGAGCATAAAGTTTGCAGTAGGATTACCTGAGTTCCACCCACAGCCCCATCCTTTTCTGCCTTTCACACCTCAAGCCAATTACCTACCTGTTTAAGGCTAAGTTTTATGATGTATACAAATGAATTAAAAATTGCTTCTTAGAAATTTGTCGTAGAAATAAATGATATAATAGACTTAGCACAACACTTGGCAAATAGTGCTTTTAACTTGGTCACTTAAAATTAGAAGATAGAACATTTATGTGTTTTTATTTAGCAATGTTCGTTGTTACGTATGGCTATTGCTTATATAATTTTTCTTGAATGCTTCTATGAATTATGTTTAAGAATATCTATATCCAATAGTTCTTACAAAAGATGATTGTTATCAATACAAATAACCCTAATTTTTCTCCCAAGAAAGTCAGGCACCTTTGGGAAATCCGGCACAATTTTTACTCAGAAAGTTGAAAAATACTGTAATTCCAGCAGTAAAATCACTCCTCTTCATTAACAACACTGTCACTAGAGAAAATTATTTATGAACTTTAAGGCCCATTATGTTTCTGAGTCATGCTACCTACCTATTTAATGTGTGAGAAGTAAAAAATTATGTAAAAAATTGAAAAACAGGCATGGAAAAACTTTCTACTTTCTAGGTGTTTACTCCTTAATTTATAAACATGCTGAAGCATACATATCAGTAGTTTACATTAAGGGCAACAGAAAACAACAACAACAATAACAAATAAATAGCTGATATGGTGAGACCTCAGGTTCATTAAAATTATATATACTGAAGATTATTTAATATGAGGTAAACATACTCTATTTGAGGAACAACTTAAAAACATATTAATCATGTTTTTGTTTGTTTTACACAACATCACCTCCTCACAGAGACCTTAGCAGGGCAAAGTGTGCCACTCTGACCAGAATGTCATCTTCCCAGATCAGGACTTTGCAGATGTTTTATGATTTTTATTATACTTAGATAGGATTTCCTTACTTTTGGACCAGTGTGTTATACAAAATCACCAGGATGTTTGGTCTTCCTAGGTGCTCGCTGTATGAAGGCACATTTCATGTAGATTTAAACATTCATAGCACAGATGTTCTGTGGGTAATACATCACACTTTTGGAATACCCAGTGCTGTTTGTTTTGTCTAGCTGTTCAGACATTTATAGTCATTTTTATAATTTTCACAAAGGTCATAAGGAACTTTCAGTATTTGCAAATATACAGTTATGGGAACTCAGTAATATTAAAATGCCATTGACTACATATTAGCAGATGTTCAGATGACTGACTAGGTTATATAAAGAACCTTGAAAGCATAAAGCATAATATGATTGGAAGTTTGGCTGTATTGTGCTGGAGTTTAGTCAATTAGAAAACACTTCAATAAAAAGACAAGTAAATTAGATTTCTCCAGATTCAAAGGTAAAAATAAATGTAAGAAAAATGCTATGTCATATGAAAAAATATTTTGTAATGAAATTGCTTTTAGACAATCACAAATACAAAGTCATGCTTAGGTTGTTAAAAGGAATCAATTTCTTCAAGCCCTAAAATATTTATAAGCAATTATTTTAAAAGTAACTTCATGAACCACAATAGCATATGGTGAAACATGAACAAGTCGTAGATGAATGTAAATAATCAATAATTAAGAATCCTATGCCGGGCACGGTGGCTCACGCCTGTAATCCCAGCACTTTGGGAGGCCAAGGCGGGCGGATCACGAGGTCAGGAGATTGAGACCAACCTAGCTAACACGGTGAAACCCCGTCTCTACTAAAAATACAAAAAATTAGCCGGGCGTGGTGGTGGGCGCCTGCAGTCCCAGCTACTCGGGAGGCTGAGGCAGGAGAATGGCGTGAACCCGGGAGGCGGAGCTTGCAGTGAGCCGAGATCTCGCCACTGCACTCCAGCCTGGACAAAAAGCGAGACTCCGTCTCAAAAAAAAAAAAAAAAAAAAAAGAATCCTTCTGGAATTTCCTTTTCCTTTAGTGTCTGGAATAATACATTTTCTAAATAATCCATGAATCTCCACGTTATTTATTTTTTCCACAAGTGTTTAAAGCTAATGATATAATTTAAGCTTTTAGAATACTACAGAGCTCCAAATGTCAATAATTATATGTTTTTTCACATATGTATCCGAAGTACACAGGAAATTGCTTTGGCATTGCTCAATAGAAATGGAAGGAAAAACTTAGTATACTCTGGAAATGGTTGTCAGTTACTATGCCTCTGAACAACGTCCTGTTGAAACTATTTAGTCCCTTCAATAATATATATTTTTATTTTCTTGCTTATTTTTATGTATGTGTCACATATTTTCTTAAGTGTAGACTCTGTATTTTTTGTTTAATATACCCTTGAAAACAAAATAGTACTTTAAATACAAACTCCTGGACTTAACAATATTTCTTTTTGCTGGAATTTAGAGAGTATAATACTCACTGTCATTTTCATTTTTGTGCTGAAGTGAAGCTTAAGAACAGTTATCCTAAAGTTTGCATGCTGTAGACATAAAAAGATATGGCTGCTTCTTATCTAGAGCAGAGGATAAACTCGAATGGCCCTGGGAGGTTCTGTTTGACATAAGAATAAACCTGCAGTGAACTCCAATGACTACAGAAAAGCTCTGTCAATCCTTTTCCAGGACTTGGAAGAGAGAGACTAATGCCAATAGAGCTGCCTGAGCTCATGACAGAGAATGATTCTACCCCAGTGACAAGACTTTCAAAGTTCCCTATTTTGTTTCATCTGAAATTCCAGAAAAACTGAAGAAATCAAGATATTAAAGTGATATTATAAATGCTATTTCCAGAGTTCACAACATAAAAATAGACAGTAAACTTCATTGTTGTACTAGCTGCTTTAGAAAATATTTAAATGCTGTCTTTATAGAATGACATACAGTTTCATTCATTTCTTCATCTTGCTGCACAACTGAATCAATAGTTGACTAGTGTAAATCTAAAAATTGTCCACTTGAGGCTATTTTAGATATGCCTCATGAATTTCAATGTTGCCCCACTTTTATCATGCTTTTAAAACTGATTTAAGAATTTCTTTTCATTTTATATTCTTTTTATAAATTTATATCAGAAGAGTGAAATAAATCACTCAGAAGTACAAAAATACCAATGTATGCAGTTGGAGACATTGCCAAAATATAATAGCAAGCAGCAGCATCGTATAATACCTCAAAATGTTCTTTCACCAGTTGAGGTATAAAAATCTGAATCTGGCATGCAAAAGAAAATAAGGATGTGAATGTGCAATGCATGACAGTTGTGTGAACGTTGAAAGAAAGTGAAGGATATTTTACAAGACAAGCTCGTCCCATCTCTTGAAGAACTAAAGAAAATCGTATTCACACTTGTAAATGAAGGAAAAAATGTTAAGCAGAATTACTGGATGCAGGAACAGAATATATCACAAAAAGCTCTGAATCATTTAAAACTCACCTTTCTCTCCGTACTTTTTGTCCTCTGTGTTTGTCATATATGTTTACTATTTAGAAATTTCTATGACTTAATACTTAACTCTGAGATATGCCACATCTGCCAACACCCTTGCTATAATTTTTTGTACAAGTGAGTTTAGTATTTAGAAATTTCTATGACTTAATATTTAACTCGGAAATATTCCTCATCTGTCAATACCCTTGCTATAATTTTTTGTACAAGTGAACTGTGGTTTGTGGAACTCTATCTAAAAATAAAATACTTTCCTACCTGTTACCATGGTTTTACATTTTTCTTATTTTTCACAGTTTCTTGTAATATATGAAAATAACTTTCACTTAGGAGGTATCCTAGTATTTTTGCATATAATTTTTCTAGATATAAGGTAAACTTCACGAAAACCATAGAAATCATTTCTGTGTCCTCAGAAAATTTTTGCAACATTGGATTTTACCTTCTATTCTTTTCTGGAATAAAAAGTAAAATTAAGGCTAGAAAACAATAATGTATATTTGATAGCCAAAGACCAGCCAGACTGCCAGGAATACAGAATTTCCATGAAGAAATAATGACGCATGTTGTTAAGAGGGAAAGTTTAGGGGCATATTATGGCAAATCTTAACTATAAACCAAATGAATTTGGTTTAATTCAATAACAAAGGATCACTGAAAATTTGCTGGGCAAAGGTTGTTGTGACTATAGAAGTTGAATATGACACAAATGATTGAGGGTCAAAAGCAGGCAAGTTAGAATTCACTTTAAGTAATACTGAAATGAGATGAAAAGCCTATAAGGTTGATACAATTAAGAATAATAACACGGAAAAGAGAAGAGAGATTTTTTTTTTTTTTGCGCAGATTGATGATGACTCCAGTGGCATTCGCTTAATATTTATAATTTGTATTTTTTCTGTGTAAATGAGATTCTGTGCTTTCAAAGTCCCCAGGTGAGGATGATGCAATTAGTTCAGGGACCAGTTTGATTAGCGTGTCTTCAAAGTAAGGAATTTGTACCATGTGAAAGTATTATGTGTTCCACTTACTTGGAAAAAACAAAAAAAGCATGCAAAGCATTTTTAATAAGGTCTCCTGATGATTTGCATGCACATTAAAGAAGAATATTTTCAATAAAAGTAATTTTTCTTGACCAAAAAAAAACTTGTTCTTGAACAAAAAAGTTCATGTTTTGTTAAAAACATGGTAATAGTGATTGATTTCCAAATTCATAACACTTCTATTTATCATCTATTATCTATCTATGTATCTATCTATTTATCCACTCATCTTTCAGTGTTTTTTCCTCATTGCAATTTTTTTTCTTTACTGATAATTGAGTTCAAGGTTAGAAAGAGAGGCAATAAAACAATCAGTAATTCATTGTTTGTTTTAAACTGGATGGAATGTACTAATGAAAGTTAAAAGATAAACATCTTAATGACAAAGGTTGAAAAATATGAAATATTTCACAATATTTATATATAATGTCTTATTATATAAGAAAACCGAAATTGTTTATAATAAAGACAATATCCAAAGGTAGCAATAAAAAACAAGTTTCATAGGGATTATATTTGTATGAAGATAGTTTGGGTCAAAAACATTTTAAAGTTCAAACTTTGAAATTGTATAACAAGTTTAAACTATTTGAAGGTGATTACAAATATCCAGGTCATTACACTGAGAAATGTTTTCTAATGATCTGATCCTACACTTTTAAAACTGTATTGTTTGTTAGGTAGAACAATTTCTATTTGCGTTTCTCGTACAATCAAGGTAATATCCTGCATGTTTTATCTTTTCAAGGAGTTGACAGTCTCATTGAGGAGAGAAAAGTCACAAATAGGAAATACAGACTCATTAAGAGTTACATATTGAAGTACACTTTAGAGGTTTAGTAAAAGTGCGTTTAATCATTCCAACTCTTGAGATTTGAGGATTCTGAAGCCTATTTGTTAAAGAAATTTGCTTCATCTGTTTTTAGATATGTATTCTTACTAAAAAAAAAAGATTAAAAACTAGAAAATAGAATTTGTAATAAGCATGATTTACCATTATTATATTTTAATGTGAATATATCTGCATTATGAGCATCAAATTAATCTTATCGTTGTTCCCAAGTATAATTAACTGCTTTGAAGTCCAAGATGGAAATGTGATTATTTCAAAAAGATAGACATTTAAAAATAATGTACTATAGAACCCTATGCCTCTTTCAAAGATAAATTGGTATTAAGAATATTCCAATAATAGAGTGATAATAGCCTTAGAAAGTCTTTATATAAAATAAAGATTTTCTATTTTTTGCATTTTGGAATAACCTAATATAAAATTTGGTGGTTATAGAGTTGTTGTTCTAACTCAAATCTTCAATCATTGGAAAGTTTATTGTTTATAGCAAATAGACAATTGCTCTTCAATTAATTTTGAAAATATATATTTTTCCAAAAATAATCCATGGTTTAAATTTGTTGGTGAAAATGATCTTATGTATTTTTAAAAGTTATATTGATATTTATATCATATTCATGTATAATTATTAAGCCCTTACATTAGGTTCCTTTACATGAGGTCACTACTGAGCACTTAAATGATGTAATAGTCACATTAGTTTGACTTTCTTATTTACTTTTTTCCTCAGATAAACTTAAATATAAATGAAACTTGCCACATATTTTTACTGTGGTTTAGCTTTCAAATTTTACCTTTTAAAATAAGAAAACATTAATTTTATTTTGCTATCAGTTGTTAAATGAAATTAACCTACATATTTTATCATTTAAAAAAGTGTTTTTATATCTCACATTTGCCATGGGGGATCCCTTTTCTCATTTCTAATTTTTCTTTTAGTAAGAGTCTGTGAGTGATACAATGTTAGTCTTTCTCTATATAAATATGATATTATATTATGAATCATAAAAGTGTACCTTAACTGGTATAAAAATTTAGATTAATAAGATTTCCCTCAATATTTGGGAGATATTTCAATTTTATTCTATTATCTATTTTGGTGGTGAAAAATCTTTTCAAAATTTTTCCTTTTTGGGATTTATCTTTCTGTTGAGTAGATTTTAAAATAGTGTCTTTATTTTTATGCTCTGGAATTTCACAAAATATGTATTTAATATAATTCATCCTACCTGGAACACAGAATGCCTTTACTTCTAATCCATGTCCTTTTTTCTGAAAAAAATTTCATCCATTTTACTTTAACTATTACTTTTGCATATGTATCCATTCTGTTTCGTATCTTAATCAAATTTTCTCACAGCTCATTGCATTCTCCAGTCCTGTCTTTTGATTAACTCAGATCAGTTCTGGCTTGGTTGAGAGGCAGTAGCAGAGTGGTTAAAAATACCTAATCTGGAACCAGATTTTATGGCTGCATGAAGCTCCAGGTCTGCCTTGTAAGGTGTATGAAATTCAGAAATGATAGGATCTAATACAAGGTGCTTTTAAGTGAATGTGATGCTTCGTATACGGATAAGTACATAATGAGTGATAGGTAGTATTACACCATCAATTTTATTTTTTATCAATAACTGTATTTTTCATTTCCAATATTTCTTTTCTTTTTCTTTTTTTTTTTCGAGACGGAGTCTTGCTCTGTTGCCAGGCTGGAGTACAGTGGTGTGATCTCGGCTCACTGCAACCTCTGCCTCCAGGGTTCAAGCTATTCCCCTGCCTCAGACAGACTCCCCAGTAGCTGGGACTACAGGCGCACCACCATGCCCGGCTAATTTTTTTTTTTTTTTTTTGTATTTTAGTAGAGACGGGGTTTCACCCTGTTGGCCAGGATGATCTCGATCTCCTGACCTCGTGATCTGCCTGCCTTGGCCTCCCAAAGTGCTGGAATTACAGGCATGAGCCACCACGCCCCGCCCCATATTTCTTTTTCTAATGGCTGCCTATTTCCATGTTTTACTTAGTATATTTTTATTAGTTTACAGATTTTTCTTCTTAAGCCTAAACATACTTCTGTTATTATTTTTTAAATAAATTTTTATATTATAAGTTCTACATTTATCAGTTTAATGCTCCAAATATGCTGGGAGCAGTGTCTCGTGCCTGTGATTCCAGCTACTTAGGAGGCTGAGGTTGGAGTATCGCTTGAGCCCAGGACTTTGCGACCACTCTCGACAACATAGTGAGATGTGGTGTCTAAATAATAATAAAAATAAAAAATATTAGCAAGTCATGGTGGTGCGTGCCTTTGATCCTAGCTATTCTAGAGTATAAGGCAAGAGGATAACTTGAGCCTAAGAGTTCAATGGGCAGTGAGCTATGATCATACTACTGCACTCCAGCCTGGCCAACAGAATGAGACCCCATCTCTTAAAAATGATGATAATAATAATAAATAATGTTCCAAATATGTGTTTTGAAATTGGAGTTTCTTAGCTTAAGTAGAAAATTTTGTTGTTATTGGAGTAGTTGTTTTATTTTTTATTTATGCCTTAGATTTTTTTATAAAATGACTTTTCTCTATGTGCATACCTCAAAATATAGCATCTTTGAAGGGATTTGACTCCTCACAACTACAATAATGATTTGTAATTCTAATATTGTTGCAGTATGGGATATTTCATGATCTAGCCAATGGTAACATTCTTTAGTTCCTAGTCACCTGACAATATCTATGGATTCCTAATTCCCAAGACCTGCAAGCTATTATAAGCTTGAAACTAAGAGCTTGGTGTATAGCATTTCATTGGGACTTTATTTCCACAAGTGGAAACTCCTCTTCAAAATCCCTGAATACAAGCAGAGTTTGTCTCTAGACCACTTTTTGCATGGAGCTGTCATATTCCCTGTTACTGCTTGGACGCTTTATTTCTGCTTCCAGATCTGGATTCCAACATGCTGTGGCATGCTTGTAGATTCATCCACACTTAATAATACTATCTCTCAATTTAATTTCCAAATGGTGAAATATTTGTTTTTCAACCTTGGCTATGCTATTTGACAATCTGTTTATTGTTCTTGGTTATTCTCTCTGTTATACACATGAATGTAAATGTACTTTTCTTGGTAATTACATGTTTTGAGCAAGAGAGAAATGACAAATCATTACATTTGACCCATCTGACTATGGGCTTTACAATACTAGCCAGAAGGAAACCATCTAAATAAAATAGGCATAGATTAAAAAAATAGTAAAAATAAAAATTAAAAGACAAATAGTATTTAAAACAAAACAGTCAAAATGAGACAACAGAAAACATGTTAATATCTGACCAAGTGGTACCACAGGCCTATTTTAATGAGCTGGGTAAAAAAAGACATTACATGATAAAGATAATTACCGTGCACAAAAAAGGAAAAAAGTTATAAAGTGCTATATGCCCATAAATATGTAACACTTTTCTCTCACAAAAAAGCAAAAAACTTAGAAAAATGAACAAAATTAACAAAAGCACAGTTGTAAAGAGTGATTTTACTTTATTCATATTTAAAAGACCAGATTGAAAAATATTAATTGAACTATGTTTATATATGCATGTATTCATGTGTGTATATGCATATGAATACATGTGTACATGTGTATATTTGAAAAAGTGAAAAAGAAAAATAATTGACAAAAATGTATGTCTGATCAAAAGGAATATATTTTAAATGTATAGATTACTAAAAGGAGTGATTTATTACTTCATAACTTTAAAAAATCAAAAAGAAAAAATCAATATTGCAAAGTGATGTCTGCAAGCTAATAGAATAGGCACTTTCTAGGATAATCCTTCCACAGAAGCATCAATTTTGCTAACTACCCACAGACCCACAGACAAGAGCACCTTTGTGGGAGTCTGTGAGCCTAGCAGAGAAGTTTCAGCACACCATTGGAGAAAAAAGTCTGAGAATAGATGCACCGAAGAAGGTAAGAAGCGTTTCACTTTTGAATTTTTCCTCCTCCCAAGGCAGCACAGCTTAGTGCCAAGATAAACCTGTTTGGTTACTATTTTCTCCCACAGGGGAAAGTGAGAGTGTAGGAAGTGCCCTGTTTTCCCAGCCATACTGGACAAAGCCGGAAGAGATGCTGACTTCTTTCTTGCTCCACACAGAATACTGAGGTGATCAGGACAGGTGAGGGATTAAGAAAGGACGAGAGCACAGAAGAGTAGACTCTACCAATTGCTCTGAAGTTTCCATTAGGAAGCTTGCCATGGGCTGTTTTGAATGCTTTTCCTGTGGACCCTCCCCTCAACTGGTGACGGGTACCCAAGTGCTCCATAGGCCTCAACCCTTCCTCCCCAGAGCAGCTCTCAGGGGTTATCCCAGTGGATGGTGCAATTTTCTTGCACAGACTAGTTTCAGTCAGCACGATGGGGAGAAGGCACACAAACTTGAGCATTTCATGGTATTACCCTAAGGAAAGCAAACAAGAGGTTCTCAGCACCTGGCTTGGCTTTGTGTGATTGATAGAAGCCATTCAATCTTACTAAGTTTTCCCCAAAAAGGAACAAAAGGTGTGAAGTAAACACAAATATAAAAAATGTCTGAGGGAGACTTGGAACTCTTAGGCAGACTAACTGGTGAAAGCATTTTCCTCCTGAAGCCAGTTAGCAAAAACTGGAGAAGATGACTTCTTCAAATGCCAAATGTAAGACTTCAAGAGCACTAAAAAATGAATAAAATATGACACTGCCAAAGGAGCACAATATTTTAGTAACTGACTCAACAAAATGGAAACCTATGAATTGCTTGAAAAAGAATTCAAAATAGATATTTTAACAGACTACAGTAAACTACGAGAGAACACAGATGACTCAATGATATCAGAAAAATAATAGATAAACAAAATAAGAAGTTTAATGAGGATATAGAAATCATAAAAAGAACCAAACATAAATTCTGAAGCTAGAAAACAAAATGAATAAAATTATAGACAATAGTGAGTGCCAACAGAGGACTTACAAAGCATATGTAAAAGTCTGTGAACTTGAAGAAAAGTCATATGAAAATATTTAGTCAGGAGATAAAAACTACCAAATAATAGAAAGGAATAAAGGAAGCCTGTGAGGTTTACAGGGAACCATCAAGACAGCTACCTTACACATTAGGACAGTCCCTGAAGGAGAAGAGAGAAAGGTACAGAAAGTTTATTCAAATAAATAATGGCTGAAAACTCCCCATTCTGAGTTGGATGTGAGTATACAGGTATATAAAGAATAAAGTTCTTTAAGCAGTTTCAACCCAAAGATTTCACAAAGACAGTAATCAAACTGTCAAAAATTTAAGACAAAGAGAGAATTTCTAAAGTAGCAAAAAAGAGATTATTATATATAGGAGAATGTTAATTGGAAGTCTCTGCTAACTCTTCACTAGCCTGGGAGACAGTGGGATGATATATTCAAACTACAGAATGAAAAAACAAAAACAAAAACCTCCAGCAAACTATCAACAAAAATTCATCTGGCCAATATTTTCTTGCAAAAAGAAGGGAAGATTAAACATTTTTTACAAACAAAAGCTGAGAGCTTGTTACCACTTGATCTGACACACAGGAAATGTTAAAGAGAGTTTATTAACCTAAAATTAAAGGACACTAGTAACAGAAAAACATATGCTGGAATAAAACATGCTGTAAAACATGCTAGAAAATGTAATTACATAGCTAAATTTAGAATACTCTAATACTGTAATGGTAGTGTGTAAATCACTTATTATTCTAGCAAAAACTCAAAAGACAAAAGCAGGAAAAATAACTAAAATTATAACAATGTGTATGGGTACACAATATAAAAAGATGTAAATTGTGATAAGAAAAACATAAAATGTCAAAGAGGAAAGTAAAAGTGTAGAGATTTTGTATTCCATAAAAGCTAAGTTGTTATTAACATAAAATAATCTGTTATAACAAATTGTTTTATGTAATCCTCATGGTAACAACAAAAAGAAAACATAAGCAGATACACATAAGATAAAGAGAAAGGAATCAAATCACACCACCACAGAAAATCATCAAGTCATAAAGGAAGACTCAAATTTAGGAATAAAGAAACAAAATATATATTTTAAAGCCAAAATAATGACAATATTTAGTTCTGACCAAATAATAATTACTTTAAGTGTAAACTGATGAAATTCTCTAGTCAAAAGACATATACTAGCTGAATGAAAAACAAAATGCAACTAGCATATGTTGCTTACAAGAGATTCACTTCAGTTTTAAGGGCACAGATAGATTAAAAGTGAGGAGACAGAAAAAGATATTCAAAGTCAATGGAAACCAAAAGAGAGCAGGGTAACTATAATCATTTCAAACAAAATAGACTTTAAACAAAAAACTTAACAAATTGTGATTTTTTCTTTTAGATTTTACATATTCAAAATTATTGTTTTCAAATAAAGTTTGCTCTTCCTTTAATGTTTATCTTGGCTATATTTTATTTTTATAATTACATTAAACATAACAAAATAAAAAACCAATTTGGATAATAGTGATTATAATATACCTCTGACTCCTTTCTTATTTTAATAGAGAAATGAGTTAGACTTTCACAGTTTATTCCAATGCTTGTTATTATTTATAGTTAAAAATAGCTAATTTAATTAAGTGGAAAGATTTTTCTCTGAGAACTGGAAAAGGACAAGGATGCTCACTCTCATCACTTTTATTTAACATAGTATGAGAAATCCTAATCAGAGAATCTAGGCAAGAGAAAGAAATATGGAGCATACAAATTAGAAAACAGAAAGTCAAATTGTTCCTCCTTTGTAGAAGTTATAATCTTATATATTTTTTAAAATGCCTATAAACTTTACTGAAAAAACTTTCAGAACTGGTAAAGTATATTTAGCAAAGTTTCAGGATACAAAATCAGCATACAAATATCAGTAGCATTTCTATACACTAATCATGAAAATAAATCAAACAAGCAATTCTATTTATAATAAGTTACAAAAAACACCTAGGAATAAATTTAAATGAGGAAGTGAAATATATCTACAATAAAAACTACAGAACACTGTGGAAAAAAAAATTGAGGACACACAAAATGGAAAGACATTAATTTTCATGGATTGAAAGCATTAATATTGTTAAAATTATCATACTAACTAAACAATTTGTAGATTCTGTGCAATTTCTATGAAAACAACAATGGCATTCTTCACAAAATGGGAAAACAATGTTATAAATTATATGGAACCACAACAGACCCTAAATAGTAAAAGCAACCCTGAGCAGAAAAATACAAACCTGGAGGCATCACACTACCTGACTTCCAATTATTCTACAAAGCTATAATAACCGAATAAGCATTGTAGAGATGTAAAAACAGACACATGGACCAATGGAACAGAAGAGAGTGCCCAGATATAAATCCATGCATTTATAGACAAATCATCGTTGACGAAGGTGGCAAGAGCAGACAATCGTGAAAGGGAAGTGTCTTTAATAAACAACTATTTATTAAAGAATGGAAAAACTAAGTAACCATATGCAGAAGAATGAAACTAGACCCATATCTCTCATTACATACAAAAATCAAATTAAAATATGTCAAAGACTTAAATCTCTTACGAAACTACAAAATAGCTAGAATAAAACAAGGAGGAAACACAGCAGAACACTGGCCTGAGCAAAGATTTTTTGTGTAAGACCTCAAAGCACAGACAACAAAAGTAGAAGTGGACAATTGGGATTATATCAAGATACAGAGCTTCTGCACAGCAAAGAAAAAGTAAACAAAGTGAAGACAGAACCCACACAGTAAGAGTAAGTATTTGCAGACTATCCATCTGACAAGAGATTAATAACTAGAATATATATGAAACTAAAACAACTCAATAGCAAAAACAAATAATCTGATTAAAAATTGGCAAAAGATCTTACCAGAAATTACTCAAAATAAGAAATGAAAAATGCTCAACATCACTAGTCATCAAATGAATTCATACAATGAAATATCATCCTACCCTAGTTAAAAATTACTTTTTTTCGAAAACACAAGGAATAATAGATGCTGGCAAGGAGATAGAGAAAAAGTAACACTTGTACACTGTTTGGGGGGATATAAATTAATACAACCACTATGGAAAGTGAGGTTCCTCTAAAAATTACAAAAAGCACTGATATGATATAGGATTTCCACTACTGGATTTATTATAAAAAAAGAAAATCAATGTATTCAAGAGATATCTGCACTCTCGTGTTTATCGCAGCCCTGTTCACAATAGCAAAGGTACAGAATCAATTAAAGTGTCCATCAGTTGATGAAAGAAGAGAGAAAATATGCTTGTATTAGTCCATTCTCACATTACACAAAAAAATTCCCTGAGACTGGGTAATTTGTAAACAAAAGAAGTTTAATTGGCTCACAGTTCCACAGGCTGTACAGGAAGCGTAATGCTGGCATCTGCTCAGCTTCTGGGGAGGCCTCAGGAAGCTTACAACCACGGGGGAAAACAAAGGGGGAGCAAGATGTCTTATATGGCAGGAGCAAGAGCAAGAAAGAGGAGGAGTGGTACTACATACGTTTTTTTCTTTTTTATATTATACTTTAAGTTCTGGGGTCCATGTGCAGAATCTGCAGGTTTGTTACGTAGGTATACACGTGCCATGGTGGTGTGCTGCACCCATAAACCGGTCACCTACATTAGGTATTTCTCCTAATGCTATCCCTCTCCTAGTCCCCCACCCCCCAACAAGCCCTGATGTGTGATATTCCCCACCCTGTGTCCATGTGTTCTTATTATTCAACTCCCAGTTATCAGTGAGAAAATGTGGCGTTTGGTTTTCTGTTCTTGTGTTAGTTTGATGAGAATGATGGTTTCCAGCAGTTTCATCCATGTCCCTGCAAAGGATATGAACTCATCCTTTTTTATGGCTGCATAGTATTCCATGGTGTATATGTGCCACATTTTCTTTATCCAGTCTATCATTGATGGACATTTGGGTTGGTTCCAAGTCTTTGCTATTGTGAATACTGCCACAATAAACAGGTTGTTCAGTTCCCATGTAGTTGTCCAGTTTTGAATGAGTTTCTTAATCTTGAGTTCTGATTTGATTGCACTGTGGTCTGAAACTGCTATGATTTCCATATTTTGCATTTGCTGAGGAGTGTTTTACTTCCAATTATGTGGTCAATTTTAGAATAAGTGTGATGAGTTGCTGAGAAGAATGTATATTCTGTTGATTTGGGGTGGAGAGTTTTGTAGATGTCTATTAGGTCCACTTGGTCCAGAGCTGAGTTCAAGTCCTGAATATCCTTGTTAATATCCTGTCTCGTTGATCTGTCTAATATTGACAGTGGGGTGTTAAAGTCTCCCACTATTATTGTGTGGGAGTCTAAGTCTCTTTGTAGGTCTCTAAGAGCTTGCTTTAACCAGATCTCATGAGAACTCACTCATTATCATGAGAACAGCACAGCAGCAAGGGTAATAGTGATAAACAGTCATGATAAACTGCCTTCAAGATCCAATCACTTCCCACCAGGCTCCACCTCCAACATTGGGGATTACAAATGTATATAAGATTTGGGCAAGGACACAGATCAAAACTATCAGTGGTCTATATACACAATGAAATATTATTGTCATAAAAATAGTAGTAAAATTTTGTCATTTGCAGCAACATGGATGAAATTGGCAGTCATTATGTTAAGTAAACTATGACAAGCACAGAAAAACAAATACTGCATGGTCTCACTCATATATGGGAGCTAAAAAATTAGATCTCATGAAGGTAGAGTATATTGGTAGTACCAAAAGCTAGGTAGGTGAGGGGGAAGAGAGGGATGAAGATAAATTGATTAATTTATACAAATACACAGTTAGACAGACAAAAAGAAGACAGTGTTCGATAGATCTGTAGGGTAACTATCATTAGTAATAATTTATTTTACTTGTAAAAATAGCTAGAAAATGCAATTTGAATGTTACTAGCATAACAAGGATAAGTATATAAAGTGATGAATATTCCAATTGCTCTGATTTGATCTTTACATGTTATATATCAAAATATCATATATACTTCCCAAATAGGTATGACTATTTTGTATCTAAAAAAATGGCTATTGTCAAAAGAGTAAAATTAACAATGGTGAGGATGCAGAGAAAAGGGAACTCTTGTACACTGTTGGTGGGAATATAAATTTGTATAGTAATTATTAAAACAGTATGGAAGTTCCTAAAAAAACTAAAAATGAAACGAACATCTGATCCAGCAATCCCAGTACTTGGTATTAACGCAAAGGAAAGAAAATCATTATATGGAAGAGATATCTACACCTCCATGTTTATTGTGGCACTGGTCACAATAGCCAAAATATGGAATCAACGTTTTATTAACAGATGAATGGATAAAGAAAATGTGGTATATATACACAATAAAATCTTATTCATCCATAAAAAAGAATGAAATCCTGTCATTAACAGCAACATGGATGAGTCTGAAGGACATTGTGTTAGGTGAAATGTTAGACACACAATGAGAAGTACTACATGCTCTCACTGATATATGGGTGCTAAAAACGTTGATTGCATAGAAATAGAGAGTAGAATTGTGATTATTCGAGGCTTGGGAAAAGTAACATGGGAAGAGATAATAATGAAAGATTCATTAATGAACACAAAATTATAGCTAGATAAGTAGAATAATTTCTAGTGTATTATAGCACTCTTGAGTCATTATAGTTGCAGTAACTCATTATATATTTTCAAATAGCTAGAAGAGAAGATATTGAATGTTCTAAATACAAAGGTGTGATAGAGGTCTGAAGTGATGGATATGTTTATTACCCTGATTTGATGATTATATATTGTATAAACGTATCAAAATATTACTCTGTACCACATGAACATATACAATTATTAAGTGTATATATGTACACACACCTAATTAGGTGTATATTGTATGTATGTGTATGTATATATAGTATGTCTTACATATACATATATATGTATAGACACATACATATACACCTAATTAGGTGTATATACATATAAAATTAAAATTAAATTACAGAAAATTATTATGGAGTAGAAAGTATCTGAATATTCTTGGAAATTTTAGAAGAATAATAGTAAGAGTGTTCTTGACTCACTAATATTTAAACATTTTTAAATGCCATTAAAGTTGTTGGCATTGCACACAAAGAGAAAGTGGAACAAAACACAATTCTAGATGAAAGTAGCTATGGAAATTTTAAAATGATACGACTGAAAGGCAAAAGGTAGGCTGGACACGGTGGCTCATGCCTGTAATCCCAGCACTTTGGGAGGCTGAGGTGGGTGGGCTATGAGGTCAGGAGCAAGGCCAGCCTGGCCAACATAGTGAAACCCCGTCTCTACTAAAAATACAAAAAAAAAAAAAAAATAGCTGGGCATGGTGGCACATGCCTGTAGTCTCAACTACTCAGGAGGCTGAATCAGGAGAACTGCTTGAACCCAGAAGGTGGAGGTTGTGGTGAGTTGAGATTGTGCCATTGCACTCCAGCCTGGGTGACAGAGAGAGACTCTGTTTCAAAAAAATAAATAAATAAAAATTAAAAAATAAAAAAGGCAAAAGGGTTAATTCTTGCAATGAGAAAAAAAATTCAACTTTGTAAGGATCTGTGCAAAACTGTCTCTATATCTGGATAAAATCACAGCTAAATCTCTGCCTTGCTATATACATAAATTGAAACCTGGTGAATTAAAGTCTTAAATAGAAAATATAAAACAGAAAATTAGAGGGAAAACTATAAGGATATTTAATAGTGTTGAGATGAACTTACCTCATAAAGAACAGTAAAACTGTAGAAACCCTGAAAAAACATATGTATATATAGTCTACATTAAAAACTAAACATCTGTGGCAAAATAAATCACAATTAAATTTAAAAGAAAAACATACCTAAGTAACCATATATATATATATATAGATATATATATATATATATGTATGTATGTATATCTCAATATATAACCCTATATATATCAATAAAGGGCAAATAAGACTAAAAATGAAAATCATATTAATACAAAAATAGAAGCAACTCAATAAATAATGCTTAATACATATGTAGAAACAATTTACAGAGGAAAACAAATGCTAATCCTGACCTCATGAAAAAAATGCCTAATTTCTCTAGATGTTAAAATATGCATATTATTAATACAAAAAGTATCACATCATTCCTTCATAAAAATTGTAAATATTTTTTAAACAATGATAATATCCACTATTTTTTAAATCAGGGAAATAAACCTATATATTAATGTCAAGAGCTTAAAGTGTTTCTTCAGTTTAAAAAGAAATCTAACAAGATCTTTTAAAACCTATGGCATAAAGAAGACCTTCAGTCAGAATTATGCTTTTGGAAATTTATCTGATCACAACAAAATCCCAGTATATAAGGATATAGGCATAATGATATTTCTTCCACAGTTGTTTTGGATTTTTAAAAAAGACACAAATCTTACTGCCCATCAGTTGAAGAATGAATAAATTGTCATTTATTTATAATATAGAAGCTTACACCACCTACTATAAAAATGAGTTAGATCTGTATGAATTAACTTGAAGGAATAACCATTGATACTTTATCAAATGAGAAAAGCAAGTTATAGAGTAGTTAGAATTTAGCATCTGAAAATTTTACTATAAGCTTAGTCCTTTACCTCAGATGAACTAACATCCCAATATATACTTAATCTGATTTCTCCCCTCTTATAGATATTAAAATCCAAAGCCTGGAAAGTAGATGACCTACCTCTATTAATATTGCAGACGTCTATTACCATAAGAATTACTGTACAGAATTAGTCAAATAATTTTCATTCAAAGAATATGGAATACATCAGATATTACAAAGTAAGTCTATCAGGCAAGGTATTAGTTGTCTCTCTGATGAGTAATTATAATAAATATATGTTGTACAAAATTCAGCCATTGATTATTGTACTATATATTTATTTCTCAAGCAGTGCCTCCATAAAGAGGACAAGTGACTGTCACATAAATGTAAAAGCACATTTCACATAAGAATCTGTTATTCACACCCTCCTTGCAGAAAATGCCTAGAATATATTTAAGAAAGGCATACTTCTTTCCCTATGCACATTTTCCCATTGAAATTGTGTGTTTTGTTTTTGTTTTTATACCAGTTCTACTTAATAAAATTCCAAATATCATTGCTCATTTTGACAATCAGTTACTTCCTTAGTTTCTTTAGTCACAGCGACACCAAGTTTTCTTTGCTGTCTTTGAAAATAGGTAGCTGTTTCCTTACACCCTTTATTTCATTGCATTCTAACTACGTGTTTATAAGTCTTCCGCTTCTACCTGGTAGGTATATGGACCTTGCTTTTGTGGATGGTCATGTCATAGAGTGTAAAGAACATATGCCTTCAAGCCAGGCAGATATGAATTCAGATTTTGTTTCCATAATTTCACTCTAACTTGGATTTTTGAATAAGTCAAGTACTTTATCTGAGACTCATGTTTTGAATCTAGGATTTGAACAATAATAAATAACACGTATGTTTGGCATCAAATGAGGACACAAAATGTAAGACAAAGGTGTTGTTTTCCTTTCCATACTTTCCTACTATACTTAGTTTATTGAAGTTGGGAGCATATTCATATTCTTCTCCATCACAGTTTTATAGTACAATGATTCATAAATATTTTTCAATGAAGATTTATCTGAGAGTAAGTTTACTAGTTACTTCATCTGAACAAAATAAAACATCTCTTCTTTGAGTTACAAAACAATAATATACAAGGTAGCATTATTAATTTTATCTATATATAGGAATTTTAAAAGCACTCTGTAATACTTTTTTGTAGCTATTTTTAATAGTGTCTTATGATGAACTTCATTTTATTCTTATCTGATATTAATTTTCTTAATTCTTAGATATTCTCTATTTAATAATTTTGCTCACAGTTTGATACTTAAATGCTGTCCACAATATGAGATACCATTATAAGAACTACAATAACATTTTACAAAGGCTTATTTATAACCTCTACATCAGTAGATTCTAATGTACAACTTAATTTGATAGCCATAGCACATAAATATATTTAAAGATTATATGAAGTCTTGATGTCCAAAATGATTACTTCCATGACTCCATTTTAACTGCTTATATTTAAAATGGATCTTAAATAAAAATTATTTGACTTGTCATTTTTGATGTGTCACTTTTCCTAAAATTTTATGTATTTTACTTTTTTCATGTTTTACAGTACATTATTTTAGTTACAAATTGGTGTTTGGTTTTTGGTGCAATTGAAATAATCAACAACTGAACCAAAAAAGTGTTCTAAGTTTACTTCACTGCTCATAAGGAAATAGAGGATCAAAATAATTCCACTGCTAATTATTATTTTTATTTTCTAAAAGTAAACAACAACCAAAGCCAGGTACGTTTTCATTAGTGGAGTAGTTCAGTTGAAAGTAGCTTGCTATATCTGGGTCACTCAGTTCATTACCCTGTGTGGTCTCTTCTTCACCAGCAAGCTTAATCACCTGAAGTCTGAAGCCACATCTATCAGTCTCTTTCAACTTCTAACTCTCTATTTAGTAACTTTTTCACTGTGCAACTCAAGGACTTTCTATTTTTCCTAAGACTTTATTATCTTTAACTGTTCTCTATACATAAATCCTTTCTTTTAAAAATTATCTCGAGTAAAGACATTGTGCGTATCTGAAACATTGTATTTCAGAGAAAAAAATGTTAAGATAAACTTTAGTGAAAGAAGAAACACCATTTTTGTTGAATTAGGTAAGATATTTAATAGGAACTTTAAATGTTTTAAGGAGGGAAGCTTAAATTTTCCATTTTCTTATATCTAATTAGGAGGAAACTTCGATTGCATTCTCTGGGCTGGGCGAGGTGGCTCACGCCTGTAATCCTAGCACTTTGGGAGGCTGAGGAAGGGGGATCACAAGGTCGGGAATTCGAGACTAGCCTGGCCAACATGGTGAAACCACGTCTGTACTAAAAATACAAAAATTAGCCAGGTGGTGTGGCGGGCGCCTGCAATACCAGCTACTCGGGAGGCTGAGGCGGGAGAATCGCTTGAACCTGGGAGGTGGAGGTTGCAGTGAGCTGAGATCGCACCGTTGCACTCCAGCCTGGGGAACAAGAGCAAATCTCTGTCTCAAAAAAAAAAAAAAAAGAAGAAGAAGAAGAAAAGAAAAAAAGACACCAAGCCTTTTATCCAGAAATTGACTGCATATTTGTTATTAATAATAATAATAATACACAGAAATTTTGATTCAGAATAAATTCACTATGGACAAAAACTCAAAAAGTGATCTTTTTTTTTTTTTTTTTGAGATGGAGTCTCGCTCTGTTGCCAGACTGGAGTGCAGTGGCACATTCTCAGCTCACTGCAACCTTCGCGTCCCAGGTTCAAGTGATTCTCCTGCCTCGGCCTGCCTAGTAGCTGGGACTACAGGCACGCACCACGACGCCCAGCTAATTTTTGTATTTTTAGTAGAGACAGGGTTTCACCATGTTGGCCAGGATGTTGGACTCAATCTCTTGACCTCGTGATCTGCCTGCTTTGGCCCCCCCAAAGTGCTGGGATTACAGGCGTGAGCCACCGCGCCCAGCCGAAAAGTGATATCTTAAGTACTATCGTACAAAAACAGTAGTAGAATTAGCGGAATTTTTGGCACAAGGCTCTTGTGTTCTAGCATGACACACCTAAGGTATTGGGTTAGTAAACACAACCATTTAATTCATGCAGGTGACAGGTGACAGCGTGCTGGCAGTCCTCACAGCCCTTGCTTGCTCTCGGCGCCTCCTCTGCCTGGGCTCCCACATTGGCGGCACTTAAGGAGCCCTTCAGCCCGCCGCTGCACTGTGGGAGCCCCTTTCTGGGCTGGCCAAGGCCGGAGCCGGCTCCCTCAGCTTGCAGGGAGGTGTGGATGGAGAGGCGCAAGCGGGAACCGGGGCTGCGCACGGTGCTTGCGGGCCAGCTGCAGTTCCGGGTGGGCGTGGGCTTGGCGGCCCGCACTCGGAGCAGCCGGCCGGCCCTGCTGGCCCTGGGCAATGAGGGGTTTAGCACCCTGGCTAGTGGCTGCGGAGGGTGTACTGGGTCCCCCAGCAGTGCCAGCCCACCCGCGCTGCGCTCGATTTCTCGCCGGGCCTTAGCTGCCTTCCCGCGGGGCAGGGCTGGGGACCTGCAGCCCGCCATGCCTGAGCCTCCCCCCAACCCCGTGGGCTCCTGTGCGGCCCGAGCCTCCCCCATGAGCGCCGCCCCCTGCTCCAGGGCGCCCAGTCCCATCGACCACCCAAGGGCTGAAGAGTGCGGGCACATGGCGCGGGACTGGCAGGCAGTTCCACCTGCAGCCCCCATGCGGGATCCCCATGCGGGATCCCCATGCGGAATCACCATGGGTGAAGCCAGCTGGGCTCCAGAGTCTGGTGGGGACGTGGAGAACCTTTAGTCTAGCTCAGGGATTGTGAATACACCGATCAGCACCCTGTGTCTAGCTCAGGGTTTGTGAATGCACCAAACGACACTGTATCTAGCTAATCTGGTGGGGACTTGGAGAACCTTTGTGTCTAGCTCAGGGATTGTAAATGCACCAATCAGCGCCCTGTCAAAACAGACCACTCGGCTCTACCAATCAACAGGATGTGGGTGGGGCCGATAAGAGAATAAAAGCAGGCTGCCTGAGCCGGCAGTGGCAACCCCCTGGGGTCCCCTTCCACACTGTGGAAGATTTGTTCCTTCGCTCTTTGCAATAAATCTTACTACTGCTCACTCTTTGGGTCCACACTGCTTTTATCAGCTGTAACACTCACCATGAAGGTCTGCAGCTTCACTCCTGAAGCCAGCGAGACCACGAGCCCACCGGGAGGAACGAACAACTCCAGATGCGCTGCTTTAAGAGCTGTAACACTCACCGCGAAAGTCTGCAGCTTCACTCTTGAGCCAGCCAGACCACCAACCCACCAGAAGGAAGAAACTCCGAACACATCCGAACATCAGAAGGAACAAACTCCAGACATGCCACCTTAAGAGCTGTAACACTCACCGCGAGGGTCCGCGCCTTCATTGTTGAAGTCAGTGAGACCAAGAACCCACCAATTCTGGACACACGGGCATTGAGCACCTTTTATTCATGTCTTTTATCTAGAAAACATTGAGAATTTGATGTGAACAACAGAGAAAAGCAGACAACTAACAAGAAAACAGACAATAATGATTAGGAAGCAATCAATTGAAATAGAATTATGAGATATTTATAATAATGATTAGGAAGAACGCAGCTGAAATGAAATTACCAGGCCTGATACGTGGAAACCTAGATGATTGGGAGAGAGTCTACTGAGAAAGTCACAATAAATCAAATAAGGTTAAGAATAAGCCAGTAGGGGAAAAATAGGAGAGAGCATTTCAAGTTCTGAGTGAAAACTTGTAGCTAAAAAAAGGACTTAGCTTGGGAGGCCAAGGTGGATGGATCACCTGAGGTCAGGAGTTGGAGACCAGCCTGGCTAACATGGTGAAACCCTGTCTCTACTGAAAATACAAAATTAGCTGGGCGTAGTGGTGGGTGCCTGTAATTCCAGCTACTCAGGAGGCTGAGGCAGGAGAATCACTTGAACCTGCTCTGCTGAGGCTGAGGTTGCAGTGAGCCGAGATTGCACCATTGCACTCTAGCCTGGGCAAAAGGAGCAAAACTCCATCTCAAAAAAAAAGAATTTAGCAGCATAGAGAAATTGAACAGAGGGTTGCCACTGAGTCTAGAAGACAATGAATGAGCAGGAGAATAAGAGGAAGCCAAGTACATAGTGCCTAGATCATTTTATGCTTTCTTGGCTCTGGCAAGAATAAATTGAATATTTACTGAGCAATTGCTTACTGTGTGCCAGGTACTATTTAAGTTGCTTTATGAATTAACCCATTTAACTCTAACAACAACCTTTTAAGAGGGTACTATTACAATATTTTATAATGAGGTACTGAAACAAATAGTTTAAATAAGTTCTTCAAAACCGCATCACCAGTAAGTCTCTGAGTCAAGATTCTAAACTAAGCAGGCTTATGTAGAGTCTTCTTTTTTCACAACTATAGCGTGCTTCCTGCAGCCAATAAATTCATATGTTGTATTAGAGAAACAATGTGTTATGCTTCAGTTATCAGCTGTGGCCTGAAATGGGACACAGAGATGATGTGGATTGTGACTCTTTTATCATCAATGTTTACCACAGCTAATATTTTTTAAATGGTTTAGAGGACAAGAATGGTTTAGAGGACAAGAAGGGGGATTAAAAAGAATAAAAATGAAAACCTGTTAGATTCGCTCAGACCTAGAGATGATGGTGACTTAAACTACAATGGGGTTCATGGAGATGTAGAGAAAAGGAAATATGGCCATTTGACATGTATTTTGAAACTAGACATGTTAGGACTTGTCAACATGAGGGAGGGTAAGCAATAAGAATGACATTGAGGATTCTAAATTTTGTAACTGATATTGGCCTCTTATGGAGTTGCTACCACTTTTATCCACTTTTATCATCTGTTTATTATCTTCTAATAGTCATTAACCAAACCAAAATGAAATTCATCAGCCAAAGAGCTCAGAGTTGGGTAACTATTATGCACTGGCATAAATTTAAGGTAAACAATCTATCAACTCGTTCGTGGCAACATCCAAACTTAATAGTATGTTCCACTAGGGCTCTTTGTAGACCAATTGATGATTTACTAGCAGTTGAAAATATTAAAATGAGTTTATATGGTGCTAAAACTTAAGCATTTTCTGCTTTAGGAAATAATGAAATATATATTATTGTTGTAATACAGATATTAAAATGATTGTGATGGGAGGAAAGCTAGGGGGCTATAATATCTATTACAAGGCTCAGTAGAATTTGGCCTTTCATCCTATTCTTTAGTACCTGGGTCTGCGATAGGCACTAGAAGGTAGCATCGCGAAATATATTAAAACTCATCCTTGGTCTGTGGAAGCCTACCCTAAGCACTCCAAGGAAATTACATGTAAAACAAACTAAAATTACTCATGTTCGTTAACCAAAGTTTAAAAATGGAATCTCAAAAATAGGTCCACATATAATCATTTTAAGTTTGTTTAAATGTTTATTGCCCATTTATTATCTATTATTTGAGTACATTTGTTTAAACTTCTATTTATTGCCTATTTTAATTAAAAGAATGTATATAATTGTCTAAATTTTGTCATAGTTGAGAGTAAGCTGTTTTTGACAATCAAATTCTTAGCACTACACTGAATCTGTGGTGCAAAAGCATTATCCACATTAAAAAAAGACATTTTTCTACTATAGGCTCATTTTCCTGGATGTAATCAGGTTTTCAGTGGCAGAATTGATAAATGGTTTCAAGACAATGCAGATGGAAACAAAGACATGTTTATTTGTCACCACATATTGTCCATGTGGCCATAGCTAAAATATCTATCACATAAAAATTTCTCCTCTATGACCATTCTTAATCATGTATATCCTGAATAGCAGTATCAATCTGCCCTGACACGCCACTACTTGTCTTCCCAGACCCCGCTCTGTTGATAGCATCTTTCATTAACCAGAATATATTGATGCCATATAAATGTCTGGTCACAAGTTCTCAACCTCTTAGGCTCCCTTATCACGATATGTTTATACCCCTTAGAGACCCAAGCACTGGCATAAATTTCAGGTAAACATCAGTTCGTTCATGGCAACATCCAAACTTAATAGTATATTCAACTAGGGCTCTTTGTAGACCAATTGATGATTTACTAGCAGTTAAAAATATTAAAATGAGTTTATATGATGCTGACATTTAAACATTTTCCATTTTAGGAAATAATGGACTTAACAATATCTACAAAGAGAACCAAGGAAAATTCCAGGTTTTAGTCTGACACTTAAGGAGCTTAGAAGTTGCCACTTCATCCTAACAGCAAGTAAAACCTAAACGAACTGAAAAATCAACAACTTTTCTTAGACCAAAGAAGTAAAGTTACAGTGTAAACTACTATCCTGAATATTGAAAAGACAGGTGGATACAGAGAATCACAACTTACTGAAACAGTAACCTACAAGCATAAACCTCCATGGGACCCAGTGCTAGGGTAGAAAAAAACCTAAATTTTAATTGATGAATTGCTGGAGGCTCAGTGTGGGCAAGTCTGAAAGTTAAAACTCCAGAGGACCCAGTCATAGAGATGATGCCCTTATATTTTGTGAGAATTACCTCCAAGAGCTGTACCAGGGACTCACAGAGAATACAGGAGAAAAATCTTCTACTTCCAGCAGGGGGAGGGGATAATTACCAATTGCAAACACCCTAGAGCATTCTGTTTTTAACAAGGTCTGACCTCAGGTGAAACTATTTACTAAAGCTTAATCATCTGAGGTCTTATTAGAGCCCAATCTACCTGGGGAAATAAAAATATCCAACTCCGGTCCCCTCTAGACATTCTGTCTTACTAAGGGGAGAAAAACTGAGGAGCACTGGTGAAGTTCACAGTCCAGTAGCAAAGGTTTGTGAACTACTGACAACCATAGACCCATAGAATGCTTCCCTTCCCCCACAACTTCACACCACACCACTAAAGACCTATTAAGTTTCTTTTACTTAATACATCATGTCAGGATTTCAAAGAAAAAAAAATTAAAAACTACATACATACATGTATACAAATGAGGCAAAAAAAAAAAAAAAGAAAAACCAAAAAACGCCATTTGAAGATACTGAACAAGCATCAGAACCAGAGTCAGATATTTTAGGAATATTGGAATTATCAGACCAGCAATTTAAAACAACTATAATTAGCATGCTAAGAGCTCTAATGGAAAAAGCAGACAGCATGCAATGGATAATGTAAGCAGAAAGATGAAAACTCCAAGAAACAATAAAAAAATGCTAGAGATCAAAAATACTATAAGAAACGAAGAATGTCTTTGATAAGCTAACTAGTAGACTGCAAACTGCTGAGGAAAGAATCTCTAAACGTGAAGATATGACAGTGGAAACAAATAAAAAAGAATTTGGGCCAGGTGCAGTGGCTCACGCCTAAAATCCCAGCACTTTGGGAGGCCAAGGCAGGCAAATCAGGATGTCAAGAGATCGAGACCATCCTGACCAACATGGTAAAATCCCATCTCTACTAAAAATACAGAATTAGCTGGGCATGGTGGCACACGCCTGTAGTCCCAGCTACTCAGGAGGCTGAGGCAGGAGAATCACTTGAACCCAGGAGGTGGAGGTTGCAGTGAGCCGAGATTACACCACTGCATTCCACCCTGGCAACAGAATGAGAGTCTGTCACAAAAAAAAAAAAAAAAGAATTAAAAAAATAGCAGAAGATTTTAGTTTCTGTTATTATAACCCTAATAGCCATAGGGAAACTACAGAAAGTATACGGTATGTGTAATAGTGATACCCAAAGGAGATGAAAGAGAGAAAGGAACACAAGAAATAGTTGAAGCAATAATGACTAAGAATTTTCCCAAATTCTGTTAGACCTAATGCCACAGATCCAGGAATCTATAAAAACCCCAAGCATGGGCCCGGCGTGGTGGCTCACGTCTGTAATCCCAGCACTTTGGGAGGCTGAGGTGGGCGGACTACAAGGTCAGGAGTTTGACACCAGCCTGGCCAACATGGTGAAACCTCACCTCTACTACAAACATACAAAAATCAGCCAGGTGTGGTGGTGGGCGCCTGTAGTCCCAGCTGCCAGGGAGGCTGAGGCAGGAGAATCACTTGAAACCAGGAGGCGGAGGTTGCAGTGAGCCAAGATCACACCATTGCACTCCAGCCTGGGGGACAGAGCAAGACTCCGTCCCCCACTCCCCAAAAAAACAAAAAACAAAATAACACACACACAAAAAAACAAAAAAGCCACCAAGCATGATAAATGCCATACGCACACACATGCCAGCCTCACCTAGGCATATCATATCCCAATTTCAGAAAACAAAGCAAAAAATGAAAAAGCCAGAGGAAAAAATATACCTTACTTATAGTGGATCAAAGATAACACACTTAGACCAATCTAATTCTTGAAAAGTGTGCTAACAAGAAGAGAAATAAAGTATTTGAAATGTTGAGAGATAAAAACCAACCTAGAACTCTGTACCCTGCAAAATTATGTTTTAAAAGTAAAAAAGAAATAATTTCTCAGCCAAACAAAAATTGAGGGCATTTTTCCAGTAGACAATAAGAAATGTTAAAATAACTTCTTTGGACAGAAGGCAAATAATATAGGCCAGAAACTCAAATCTACATAAAGAAGTCAAGAGTATCAGAGAGTGAATAAGTGAGGGTAAGATAAAAATAATTTACTTTCTTATTTTTAATTGATCAAAAAATAAGTTTGTTCAAAATTACAATAGCAATAATGTATTCAATTATGTATGCTTATGTTTGCATGTGTATGTGTGTATATATGTATATATATGATATATATATGCTTATGTATAAGTGAAATAAATGGCACAGAGAGGAATAAAGAATATTTTGTTATTATAAGGTACTTGCATGATCTATGAAGTGATATGGTATTTGAAAGTGGACTTGAATTTATATAGCAAACATTAAAGCAAAAACTTAAAAGTTTTTAAAAGAGTGAAAATTAAATAATTAAAGAAAAATATAAAATCATGTAAAATTAAATTAAATTAATGTAATATTAAATTAAATTAATACATTAATTTAATATTAAATTAAAACCACAATGGCAGGAAAAAGTATAAGACATATGGGAACAAAGAACAAGGGCAACAAACACAAAACAGTAACAAATATGGTAGATATTCATCCAACTATATTAGTAATTACTTTGAATATCAATCATTCAGATGCATCAATTAAAATTCAGAACTGCCAAATCAGCTAAAAAAACAAGACCCAAATACTTGTTGTTTAACAAGAAATCCAATTCAAATATAAAGACACCTACACATTAAAAGTAAAGAGATAGGCTAGTCGTGGTGACTCCTACCTGTAATCCCAGTACTGGTAGGCTGAGGTGGGAGGATCATTTGGGTCCAGCAGTTCAAGACTAGCCTGGGCAACATAGTGAGATCTTGTCTCTACAAAACAAAAAAAATAAAAAAATTTCCAGGTGTGGTACTGTGTACCTGTAGCTCCAGCTACTTAGGGATCTGAGATGGGAGAACTACTTGAGCCCAGGAATTTGATGTTGCAGTGAGCTGTGATTATGCCACTGCATTCCAGCCTGGGTGACAGACAAAGGCCCTTTCTTTGAAAAAAATAAAATAAAATAAAGGTATATACAAAATACATTATGCTAATACAAATCAAAAATAAAACACAAGTACCTATATTAACTTCAGACAAAGCAAACATCAGAATAAGGAAAATTATCAGAGATAAATAGGGGCATTACATAATGGTGAAGGGGTTAATACACCAAAAAGATGTAACAATCCTTAACCTGCATGCACCTAACAACAGAGCACCAAAACACATGAGGCAAAAACTAATGAAACTGCAAAGAGAAAAAGATGATTCTGTTTCAGTTGAAGATTTCAAAACCCCGCTAACACAAGTAGGTAAGTCCAGCAGGCAGAAATTTAATAAGGACATAGTTGAACTCAATAGCACCATGAATCAACAGGACATAATAAAAATCTATCAATTACTTCATCAAACAAGAAAGGACTTTTTTTTTCCTTAGGACTGCATGAAACATTTACTAAGATAGACCACATCTGTGCCATAATACATGGCTTAAAAATTTTAAGAATATAAATTATATAGTGTGTGCTCTCATACTTCAATGGAACTAAAATAGATCGATAACAGAAAAATAGCTGGAAAATTTTGAAGTATTTGGAGGTTAAACAACACCTCTAAATAACACATGGGTCAAAGAAGAACTCTCAAGAAAAAATTAAGAAGTATTTTGATCTAACAATAATAAAAATCAAATTTATCAAAATTTATGGGATGCAACGAAAACAATTCTTAAATGCAATTTGATAGAATTAAATGTGTATGTTCAAAAAGATAAGTGTGCCATCTATCATCTAAGTTCCACCTTAGAAAACTAAAGGGCCAAGTATCGTGGCTCACATCTGTAATCCCACCATTTTAGGAGGTCAAGGTGGGTGGATCACCTGAGGTCAGGAGTTCAAGACCAGCCTAGCCAACATGGCGAAACCCCGTCTCTACTAAAAATACAAAAATTAGCTGGGCATGGCAGCATGCACATGTAATCCCAGCTACTCTGGAGCCTGAGGAAGGAAAATCGCTTGAACCTGTGAGATTAATGTTGCAGTGAGCTAAGATCATGGCACTGCACTCTAGCCTGGGCAACAGGGCGAGACTCCATCTCAAAAAAAATTAAATTACATCTAATGTAAGAAGAAAAAAAATTAATGAAAATTCAAGGCAAAACTAATAAAATAGAAAAGAGAAAAAAACTAGAGAAAATAAGCAAAACCAAAAGTTTCTTCTTTAAAAAGATCGCTAGCCTTTAGGCAGGCTAATTAAGAAAAAAAAAAAAAAAGACAGGACACATATTTCTAATATCAGAAACTTAAGATGATCCATACAGATCACATGGACTTTAAAGGATAATAAAAGAATAGTATAATGAAATCTATGATCACAAATTTAACAACCTAGAGGAAATGCACCAGTTTCATAAAATATACAAACTGCAAAACTCACACGAGGCGAAATACACCATCCAAGAAGGCCTATATCTATTAACGAAATTGAATCAATAATTAATAGCATTCCAAAATATACCAGCTCATTGGTAAACTATACCAAACATTAAAGGAAGAAAGTAAGCCAATTTTTCTCTACAATGTCTTTCAGAAGGCAGACGCACAGGAAATATTTCCACCTAATTTATGCTATGTGTCCAGCATTACGCTAATATCAAAACTAGACAAAGATACTGCAAAAACAAAAATATCTATGGACTAATATTTCACATGAAAATAGATGCAAAAATTGTCAAAAAATATAAGCAAATCAAAATCAACAATGTATTCAAAAACATAAATTTTGACCAACTAGGATTTATCCCAAGTATGCAAGGTAAGTTCAACATTCAAAAATTAATATAATCCACCACATCAACAGGCTACAGAAGAAAAATCACATGGTTATGTCAAAAAGTGCAGAAAGATTATTAGGCAAAATTTAACACTCATCTATGATAAAATCTCTCAGTGAACTAGTACTAGAGGGGAACTCTTTCAGCTTATAAAGAACATCCATGGAAAACTACAGCTAACTTTCTATTTAATGGTGAAAGACTAAAAGTCGTCTGGCTGAAACCAGAAACAAGGCTAGAATGTTCTTTCTCACCATTGCTTTCCAACATCACACTGAAAGTCCTGCCTCATTTAATACGACAAGAAAAGGAAGTAAAACCGTAGTGACTCGGAGGGAATAAATAAAACTGGTTTTGCAGATGACATGATTGTCTACATAGAAAATCCAGAAAAATTGACCAAAAATAAAAAATTCTTGATCTAACAAGGAATTATAATGAGATTGCAGGCTACAAGGTTAATATACAAAAGTCAATTGCCTTCCTTTATGTCAGCAATGAACAAGTGGAATTGGAAATTAAAAACGCATTACCATTCACATTAGCAGTCCTCAAAATTGAAATAGTCATGGACCACATAACAAAGTTTTGGTCAATGACAGTCTGCATATATGTTTGTGGTTCCATAAGATTATACTGGAGCTGAAAATTTCCCAATGCCTCATGACTCCATAGCTTTTGTAACAGGCAAGTGCAACTCATTATTCATGTGTTTGTGTTGATGCTGGTGTGAACAAAGCTACTGTGCTGCCACTCATATAAAAGTATAGTATAGCACAGGCAATTATGTACAGTACATAATACTTGATAATGATAATGAACGATAGTAATACACTATGTTACTTGTTTATGTATGTAGGATACTATACTTTCAATTGTTATTTTAGAGTATACTCCTACTCGTTAAAAATTATTAACTCTAAAACAGCCTTAGGCAATTGTTTCAGGAGGTATTCCAGAAGAAGTCATTGTTATCATAGGAGATGACAGTGCTATGTGTGTTATTTCCCCTGAAGAACTTCCAATGGGACAAAATGTATAGGTGGAAAACAATGATATTGATGACCCTGACCTTGTGTAGACCTAGGCTAATGTGTATGTTTGTGTCTTAGTTTTTTACCAAAATGTTTAAAAAGAAAAAAAAATAAAAGATTAGAAAAAACTTATAGAATAAGGATATATAGAAAGGATATCTTTGTTCAACTGTGCAATGTGTTTGTGTTTTGAAGCTAAGTGTTATTGAAAAAGAATTGAGGTTTTTTAAAAAAAAAGTTTTATAAAGTAAAAACATTACAGTAAGCTGTTTAATTTACTACATATATATATATATATATATATATATACATATATATATATATATTTTTTTTTTTTTTTTGAAATGGAGTCTTGCTCAGTCACCCAGGCTTGATTGAGTACAGTGGCACAATCTTGGCTCACAGCAACCTCCACCTCCCAGGTTCAAGTGATTCTCCTGCCTCAGCTTCCTGAATAGCTGGGACTACAGAGGTGTGCCACCACACCCAGCTAATTTTTTGTATTTTTAGTAGAGACAGGGTTTCACTGTGTTAGCCAGGATGGTCTCGATCTCCTGACTTCATGATCTGCCTGCCTTGACATCCCAAAGTGCTGGGATTACAGGCATGAGAAACTGTGTCCAGCCAAAAATATTTTTATAAATTTATTATAGCCAAAGTGTATAGTGTTTCTGAAATTTATAGTAGTGAATACTTCACATCACTCACCACTCACTGATTCTCCCAGAGCAACTTACGGTCCTGCAATCTCCATTCATGGTAACTGCCCTATACAGATGTACTATTTTTTTATTTTTTATACTGTATTTGTAGTGTACCTTTTCTATGCTCAGTTATATTTAGATACACAAGTACTTACCATTATATTAGAATTGCATCAGCATTCAGTATACTAACATACTGTGTATGCTTGTAGCCTGGAAGCAATAGCTATATCATATAGCCTAGATGTGTAATAGGCTGTATCATCTAATTTGTATAAGTACACTCTATAATGCTACTATGATAATAAAATTGCATAAAGATGCATTTCACAAAATGTTTCCCTATCATTGTGACACCTGACTGTACTTAGGTATAAATCTAATAAAATATACACAAAATCTATATGAAGAAAACAAAACTCTGGGGAAAAATATCAAAGAACTAAGTAAATGGAAAAATATTCCACCTTTGTGCATAGAAACACTCAATATTTTCTAATTTGATTTATAATTTCAATGCAATTTTACTCAAAATCTCAATGTTATTTCATGAATACCAATCAACTGATTCTAAAATTTATGTGGAGAGAAAAAAGACCCTGAATAGCCAAATTAATACTGAAGTAGAAGAACAAAGAGTGAGGTTTGCATCTACCTAACTTCAAGACTTACTATAAAGCTACAGTAATACAGTGCGGTATTGGTGGAAGAAAATAGACAAATAGATCAATGGAACAGAACAGAGAACTCAGAAGTAGACTCACCTCAGTATAGCGAACTATTCTTTGACAAAGTAGCAAAGGCAACACTAGGGAAGAAAGAAAGTCTTTAGAAACAGATGGTGCTGGAACAACTGGACATCCACATGTGAAAACAGAAATATATAAACATATCTTATACCATCATAAAAGTTAACTCAAAATAAACCACAGACCTAAATGTAAAATCCAAAACTCTGAAACCCCTACAAAACAGCATATTATAAAATCTAAATTACCTTGGGTGCAGTGACAACTTTTTAAAATATGACACCAAAGGCATGATCCATGAAAGAAATAATTGATAAGGTGAACTTTAATAAAATTAAAAATTTCAGCTTTGTCCAAGTCATTGTAAAGAGAATGAAAAGACATAATACAGCCTTGGTGAAAATATTTGCAAAACTCAGCTGATAAAGGTCAGTACTCCAAAATACACATATTCACACACACATGCATGTGTGCGCGCATGCACACACACACACACACACTGTAAAATGCAGCAAGAAGAAAATGAAAAACCCAATTTAAACAATGGGCCAAAATTGTTGATATGGTTTAACTGTGTCCCCGCCCAAATCTTGTCTTGAATTCCCACATGTTGTGGGAGGTACCAAGTGGGAGGTAATTGAACCATGGCTGTGGGTCTTTCTCATGCTGTTCTCATGATAGTGGATAAGTCTCATGAGATCTGATGTTTTCTAAAAAAGGATTTTCCCTGAACAAGTTATCTTTCTTTGTCTGTTGCCATCCATGTAAGATGTGACTTGCTCCTCTTTGCCATCCAGCATGATTGTGAGGCTTCCACAGTCATGTGGAACTGTAAGTCCATTAAACCTCTTTTTCTCTATAAATTATCTAGTCTTGGGTGTTTCTTCAGCAGCATGAAAACAGACTAAAAAATTATTAACATATATGACACCAAAGAAGATATGGAGATGGAAAATCGCACATAAAAAGATGTTCCACATTATATGTCATTAGGGAAATGCAAATTACAACAGCAATGAGATAGTACTACATATTCTTTCGAATGGGCAAGATTCAGAACACTGACAACATCAAATGATGGTAAGGATGTGGAGAAACAGAAGCTGTCATTTACTGTTAGTGGAGATGCAAAATTGTATAGCTACAGTGGAAGACAATTTGGCAGTTTCTTACAAAACGAAATATGTCCTTACCATAAAATCCATCAATTATACTCCTTAATATTTACTCAAAGGAAGTAAAACTTTTATCCACAAAAAAACCTTCACAGGGCAGCTTATAATGCTTTTGTTCATAATTGTCAAAACTTCACAACTGATGCGACCACCATGTTCTTCAGTAGGTGAATGTATAAACTGTGGACCAGACATTGGAATATTATTTATTGCTAAAGAGAATTGAGCTATCAAGTCATGAAGATCTCATGGAGGAATCTGAAATGTATATGACTAAGTGGAAGACTTCAAGTTGAAAAGGTTATTTGTTGTATGATTCCAACATGTTGTATGATGTTCTAGTAAAGGCAACTATTGAGACAGTAAAAATATCAGTGGTTGCTAGAACTTAAGGAGGGATAGAGAGATACATAGGGAGAGAAAAGAGGAGCTTTAGGGAAGTAAAACTACTCTGTATGATACTACAATACTGGACACATTGCATTATATATTTGTGCAAATCCATAGAATATCCTACACCAAAAATGAAACAGAATTTGAATGGTGGACTTCAGTGAATAATGATGTATCAATGTAGATTCATTAGTTGTAATACATGATAGAGTGTATGTGGATAATGGGGGATGCTATGTATGAGCAGGGGAAGGGATTCATGGAAATCTCTGTACCTTGCTTCAGTTTTCCTGTGAATGTACAACTCCCCTAAAAAGTAAAATCTATTTAAAAAATATATATTTGAAAATAATTAATGCTGTAGTTTCTATTGGATGGCTATGCATAGAGACACTAAATTGGATGTTCAGCTTTTAAATAATAAAATATAGTAAATATTAAAAATTAATATATTATTTTATATGAGAAATTACTAGAGTTAAATTATTAATTATCATAAAAAGTATAAGCTCTCATTCTATATCTCCCATTTTAAAATAAGTAGTCCAAGAAATTGTCTTATTTTACAATAATAAGGTTTAAATGCTTAAAGAATATTTATTTTGTTATGTATGCAAACTGTAATAGTTAACACTTTAATATTCATTTTGAAGTTTTCTTAGCATAATGTATTTAATTATGCCCATGAGAAATGTTAAAATTTAAATATAAATATCTATGTAATTTTAAGACAGCATTAACATTTCTTACTACTATATTTTATGTAGAATTTATTTATATCATTGATTAGTATCATTTAATTACATTATTTTTCACATAGCAAAAGTTCATAAGAATATAAGAATCACAACATTGATTCAATACATAATAAATCCTGTCAAGTATTTAAAGTGTTAAAAAATAAGACCAGTTAAATTTAACAAAGTTTATTGAGCAAGAAATAGATTCTAGAACCAGGGAGCATTCCAGCACTAAGACAGTTCGAAATGACTCCCTGCCCAATGTGGTAAACCATATTTATAGCCAGAAAACAGGAAATTACATACACAGATTACCTGATTGGTGCAGTTCATGGCTGACCTTATTTGGACAGAATTTGGCAACTTTCAACTTTGGATTGGCTGAGGGTTTGGCTGCTGTGATTGGCTGTGGTGCTGTTGCTTGATTACCAGGGTATAGTCATAAGTTTGGTCACAACATATTTACACATCAAGTTAGGGTACAGTTCACTGTATACAGAGGCCATTAGGAACAATCTTTATCCCACAAGTATAGAGACAGGTTTAGGCCAAGTAACTCAATTTAACAAAAGTAAGACAATTTTACCAAAGACTATTTTATGTCATTAAAATATTATTCTCCACAATCATAACCTAAGAGTTCAAGATATTTGCCCAAAACATTTTTATTCTTCCTATTAAAAATCATACTGTACCATAGTATATTTTGTATGTTTACCATTTCCTGTAATCATGTATTTTATTATTTGTTAAGTATAGCTCTTTTTTCTTTGACTAGGATATCATTTTCTACATCTCTAGAGAACAATCTAAACAGAACATATTATATCCTCTTTTGCTGAATCATGATTGAGAATCACAAAACCAACAACATGACAAATTTGCATGATTCTTGCTTGTCTATGTGTACCTGTGTAAAATTATCTGTCCTTTCTTGTCTCTAATTCTATGTGCATTTTCATAATTGTCTTGCTTATAGAATTTCTTTCACATTTTTTGAAATGACATATGTGAAAATTCAATTAGTAACGTGTGATAATACTAATTCAAGACTAAATCTATGATGATAATGTAACCAACAATATGATCAAGTATATTAACATATCATTGATTGCTTTCTTATATTCCAAGAACTAGAATGACTATACCTATATAGATCATGATGCTAGTGTGGTGTAAATTAAAGGTACAATTTAATTCTTCATTTTTCTGCTATTTTCTTTCCTTTTCCTTTTTTTTCCCATCTTTTTTTCCGGTCTTTTTTTAAAGTATGATTTGTAACTGCTGGAAATTTCTTCTTCAATGGCTGATTTCAGCAAGTCACACTAAAGTAGACTTCCACTGTTCTGAAAAAATCAAAATGAAGACTTGTTTGTTGTCCAAGTGTAAATCTTCACCAAGCAGTAAATATATGAACATTGAAGGCAGAATTCAGATTTTAAAATTTGCGAAGCAATGTCAGAGTTGTTTTTACGTTTGAAAATTCAAGATCTAGACCCCTTCTTTGATATTAATGGAACCCAGTATGTGCTTCATTAAAGTATATCAAAATTAGTTCACATGGAAAGCAGAGGCTATAGCAAACTGACTACTGAGTAGGAATCTGACACATGACCCACGTCTACTTTATCATTGTCATTCTCAGTTAGATGTTATTTGCTCCCAAGCTTTATAATGAGGAAATATAGCTATGCATTTAACCACTTAAGTGAATGCTCCAAAGACACACAGCTACTTAGTGGCAGGTTGGCAAGCCTGAACTGACATTAAAACCTATGATTTAGAAATCTACCCAGGGCCGGGTGCAGTGGCTCACGCCTGTAATCCCAGCACTTTGGGAGGCCGAGGTGTGTGGATCACCTGAGGTCAGGAGTTTGAGACCAGCCTACCCAACATGGCAAAACCCCGTCTCGTCTCTACTAAAAATACAGAAATTAGCAGGGCGTGGTGGCATGTGCCTGTAGTCCAGCTACTTGGGAGTCTGAGACAGGAGAATTGAGAATTGCTTTAACCCGAGAGGCAGAGGTTGCAGTGAGCTGAGATAGTGCTTACTGCACTCCAGCCTGGGTGACAGAGGGAGACGCCATCTCAAAAAAAAAAAAAAAAAAAAAAAAAAAAAATCCGCCCAGAGCTCTCATTGTGATACTATTTCCTTCTTCCTTCTTTACTATTTAATTATTTCTTCTTACATGGCTGTTTATTTTTATTAAAAAGTTCACAATCTCTGGATGAATATCAGTTTTACTCAATCTCTTATAATTTTTCCAGCTTAATCTTATGTGCAACTCAGGTAATTTATTATATATTTTTATTACTCATGTATCACAGAATGATTTATACCCATGACTAATCATTTTGCCATAAGCAAAACTATTGAGCTCATTACTTGATTAAAATAAAAACAACAATTTAGTGTAGTAATCAATTTTCTGATAAAGATAAGAATTTGCCTAAAAGACAATACATAAAATGAGGAGTTTCTTTAATGTTCATTTAATCAAACTTATAAACGTTTTTAGTGTATAGCCTAATTTTTTATTTTAATTTTTTTAAACTGACAGAAGGTAAGATACGGTATTAAATAACACAATTATTTATAAACTAATAGATTAATAATGAATTGATCATTAAAAAAAACACAAGCCAGCGTACAGTTGTATTAGTCATTTGCTTTGGAAATTCAACATATCTAATTTTGGTATGGATTTCAATGTTAGCATTTTATTCTAAAGAAATAAATAAATTAGGTCATTTGTTTCTAAATTATAATGCAAGGGAGAGCCCTGCTGGCAGACTTTCATAGATGCAGCAAGTAGACTCATAATAGAAGTAAACTGTCTTAGGAAAAGCAATAGTGAAGTGTAATACATCTGAATGTTTTTTGGCTCTGTATAGTCTATATTCTAGAATTGAGTCTCATTAACTTTTAACTCAATGTGCACTGTGCTTTTGAAGCTATATAGCACCTTTCATGCAATTTTCCTATTGGAATAATCCAGAAATGTACAGTTAACTTTCTATGTGAATTTTATACACTTAGGAAAACAGGACACACGGTCTATGTTCAAGTATGATAAAGCAATTCTATTGCAGTATTGAATTTATTAATATCTGACCTACTCACTAAATGCAGTTAACACATCTTGATTTCTTGATTTTTCTCTGTTTACTTCTTGTATTTAAAAGCTCTTTATTTCTACCTCTAGGGAACATTTTAAAAGGGAAAAAATAGGGATTAAAAACTGAGAGAAAATTGCTCGTTTCCTACTTAAAGTCAGATTCAGGTATGAGCTGAGTAAAAGATCATAATGGGAAACTTAACAGAGTCCAGTAAATTTTCTACCCTCCCTGTAGGGTGGATTACTTTACATGTTATTTGCTTGTTTGTTTGGCATGAATGTACAGACACAAAAAAATACACATATTTAAATATAAATGGAAAATTTTCCTGTGTCAGGCTTTTAATATGATCTATAATATTGCACTGCATGCCCCACTGCTCTCTACATTTGAGTGAATACTTGAGAGTTAACTACATATGTAGAGAAATGGTGGTAGCAATATTTAATACTTGAAAATTTAGAGCTGAATAATATATTAAAGCTTGAGGCATTGTCTTGAGTAATGGAATATTGAAAGCAAGCAAATCTCTTAATAAAAAGTACAAATAGAGAATAAACATTTTTAAAAATCATTGATCAAACTTTTTGAGCTCCTGGTATGTCAACATAGTAAGCAAAATTTCACCATAATGGAATCGGTGAACTATATCTTCTACTGTTTTAGGGTGGTCACCTATGGAAGTTTTGAAACAAGGTGTTCAGAAGAAACTAGTTTCTTCTGAAATGGAGTGATTAGAAGATCATGTGGGAAATGAGAAATATTTTGTTTATATTCAATATTTATTAAAATAAAAATTCGATTCTATATTATAATAAATTATAATGTAATAAAATAGATATGATATATTGGGACGACTCTAAATTATGTTATAGTATGTCTGGTTGGGGCCCAAAGATCAGTATTTCTAAGCACTATGCCATATTTCATGTATCAAATCCCTACCCTTATAATGGTCATAATACAAAGGCATGTTCCTCAAGGCTATAGTTTTGTATACTTTTTCTCAGTGCACTCACAAATGAAATTCTATAAATATAATTAAAATATTTAAAGATTATCATAAAGGCAAAATGATATTTTAATATTTTCTGGAATATCATTGCAAAATTATTAAGATAATAATATTAGTATTCAAATATGATTCGGTATCTGTCAATGTGTTAAAAAAATCATTGAGAATTCACCTTCACTGCCTTTCAGAAATCATAATATCTCTTTGAAGAATTACACTCATAATACATATTCCTACTTTGGTGAGCAAATTAGGCCAAAATGAACAAACAACAATAAACAAAAATAATAGCGGAGTTTATAATACATTCATAGTTATGAATAATGCAAAATAAAATGCTTCCTCAAGGTCTGTGATTCTGTGTGTTCAATAAATCAGACTTTAGTTTATTGTTACCTATGGTTTGATGTGAGGGAAGTGGCATTTCCATTCCAAAAGTTGCTTTACTTTAGGGTTATCCACACAGACATGGCCCAAACAGGAGCAGTAAGAGCTTAAGAGTCTCAGAGAAAAGAAAAGAAGAGGGGAATTTGGAGATATTTAATAATTCAAGAACACAATAGAACCTCTGTGATCCATTAGAGAATATTGTATGTCTATAGGAAGTCCCTATCATTTGAGCTTTGTGTTTTAATACTTAAATATCTAAGCTTTCACTTACTAATTACCTAGACTTCAGTTCTTTGCACCTTCCAGTAATAAATGAAAAAAATTAATAAAGGAGTTCAAGAAGGAAGAGAGGAGGAGAGAAGTGAAAATGACCCAATAGTCCCATAGACAGTTTTCTTCTTTTTTTTTTTTTAATAAAGAAGGAAATTGACCCTCTGGGCTTAAACTCGGAATTTATATTCATTTTGTTTGAGTTCCTTTCTCAGGAAATGACTTTTAGGCTTCTCAAAGAAAGTATCAAAGAACTGAAACTCACCAGATCACAGCATCTAGACATGGAGATGCTGGACCCCATATTCATCATGATTTCTTCCCTGCCACTCCCTGGTTCCCATTTTCTTATATATTGTTCCATTTCTTCTCTGCTATATAAACCCCTAGTTTTAGTCAGAGAGATGGATTTGAGAATAATCTCCCATCTCCTCAGCTGCAGAACCCAATTAGGTGTCTCAGTGGTTAGTTTTCTGTGTTGCAAGCAGCAGGACCTAGACTGAACCCTTGGTGTTTCAGTAACAGAAGGACAAAGAAGAGGATGAGGAAGAGGAAAAGGAGGCCGAGGAAAAGAAGAAGGAAAAAATAAAAATTATACTGTTAAGGGCAGCTGTGTCTATTCATACTGTTATGTAATTTTGTCTTATTTCCTCTGTTGTGTATATGTATGTGTGTGCTTGTGTCTTTTTGTGAACAAGTACACATGGCCAATAAAATTATGTTAGAAAGAAAGGACTTTTTTTTCTTTTTTTGAGACAGAGTCTTGCTCTTGTCGCCCAGGCTGGGGTGCAATGCCGCAATCTCCGCTCACTGCAAACTCGCTTTCCTGGGTTCAAATGATTCTTCTGCCTCAGCCTCCCGAGTAGCTGGGATTACAGGCACATGCCACCATGCCCAGCTAACGTTTTGTATTTTTAGTAGAGATGGGGTTTCACCATGTTGGCCAGGCTGGTCTCAAGCTCCTGACCTCATGATACGCCTGCCTCGGCCCCCCAAAGTGCTGGGATTACAGGCGTGAGCCACCCTGCCCAGCCAGAAAGGATGATGCTTATGGGAAATCAATCAGATTATTCCCCCATGCCATCAGGAGCTATACCTCACCTTGAACCAGCATCATACCCGATGTAAATGTCTGAAGAATGATACGTTATAAAATGTTTTTACAAAATAATGACTGGCACGATGTTCGCTTACCTTTGAAAAATTTTGAAAAAACTTTATGAAACTCTCCTGCACTATGTTTCTTTTATATACATATACACACATATAGAACACTTTTCTTTTATTCCCCAGACTGCAAGACAGAATACAATTATGTTTGTATGATTTTAAGAACAATTGTAACATTTGGCAATTAGATTACATCAGTGGAAGTTTTCAATAAACAAAAAAATTTTAGCCATGGAGAATCTGTCTTCAAAATTATAATCAGAATCTCTTATTGACAGAAATATAATAATGCAGAAAATTAGAAGATTGCATTAAAATTTTCATGCATTAGAAATTTGCATTAAAATTATGTATTATTACAGTAGTATACTCTAGTTACACCAGAATATACCATGAACACTCCCCAAATGAGATTTAGGTAATATATTTTCCTCTAGATCACTGAAGGGCATAATAGCAGCATTTGCAATCATTGAAAGAGTTGAGTGTTATACTTAGCTTTCTATCTTCTTCCTTGCTTTAACATGGCACCGCCTGAAAGGGAAGATCAACAACTTCCAATTAAATTTTAGAAATGGAATAGTGTAAGATGATTCAGAATGTAGCCTCATTGCAAACTTTAGCAAGTTTTCCATTCCTAAAAAAAGATTTCTTTTTGTTCTATAAAACAGCTAAGACAAAATTATCAAACAAGGAGAACTTCCAAAAATTGACATGTATTTTACCTAGTTAATATTGGTTTTTATTGAGAATATATTTCATATCAAATCACATAACAAATACTATTTTTTTGTTTTTTATTTTTATTTTTTGAGACGTAGTCTCACTGTCGCCCAGGCTGGAGTGCAGTGGCACGATTTCAGCTCACTGCAACCTCCACCTCCCGAGTCCAAGCGATTCTCCTGCCTCAGCCTCCTGAGTAGCTGGGATTACAGGCACACGCCACCATGCCTGGCTAATTTTTGTGTTTTTAGTAGAGATGGGGTTTCACCATGTTGGTCATGCTGATCTCAAATTTCTGAGCTTGTGATCCCCCCGCCTCAGCCTCCCAAAGTGCAGGGATTATAGGCATGAGCCACTGTGCCCAGCCCCAAGGACTTGGTTTTTAGCAAGAAACCTAGACATCCTTAAATGTAAAAAGGCTGTTTAATTAGATTTTCCTTGATATTTATCCTAATTTTGAAGAACAATGTATTAAACATTTCTTATTCTCACATTCTTATCAAACATTATTTAAATATAATAAGTTTAACCCATGAAACATGAGTATCAAAATTAGTTATTATGGATTAAATTAACTTGTAATTTGGGAGGTTAGATAACCCTCCAATATATTTCTGTAATGTATTTACTTTCATATTCTTCTGGCTGAAACTCTACCTATTATTGCTTTAAGTCAGCAGTCCCCAGCCTTTTTGACACTGGGGATCAGTTTCATGGAAGACAATTTTTCCATAGACTGAGATTGCGGGAGAGATGGTTTCAGGATGATTCAAGCACATTACATTTATTATGTACTTCATTATTATTATTATTATTATTACCATTGACATATATAGTGAAATAATTATACAACTCATCATAATGTAGAATCAGTGGAAGTCCTGAGCTTGTTTTCCTGCAACTAGAAGGTCCCATCTGGGGGTGATGGAAGACGTGACAGATCATCAGGCATTAGATTCTCATAAGGAGCAGGCTGACTAGATCCCTGGCATGCACAGGTCACAATAGGTTTGTGATCCTCTGAGAATCTAATGCTGTCACTGATCTGAAAGGAGGTAGAGCGTACCAGTAATGCCAGCCATAGGGACCAGCTGTGAATACAGAGGAAGCTTCACTCACTCACCTGCTGCTTACCTTCTGCTGTGTGTCCTGGTTCCTAACAGGCCACAGACCCGTACAGGTCTATGGCCCAGGGGTTGGAGATCCCTGTTTTAAGTGGCTGTGATAAAGTATTAAAATGTTAAGTTCCACTAATGTATCAAAGTGCAATAGAAGTTATGTTCCAAAGTGTGTTTCTACACTAAGAGGAAATTTATTAAATTATCAAATTGGTAACTGGTTACTAGTTTTTTATGATCCACACCTGTATTAAACCTATAAAAGGTTTCTGACTTTAAGCTGAGAAATTAAAGGATGAATTATGGACTGGCTAGCTTCTGAAAACGAAATGGCCTAGCTGGACAGAGGATGCATCCTGTGGACTGATGTGGGCTATCCATTAAAGAATGACAATGTTTTGTTATCTTGGGCACTGATCTTAAGACATAAGTAAATCTAATGACAGAAAATCAAGATTTATCTAGATTCTTAGTGGATGGAGACAGATAAGTACTTAGCTAGAAAAGAGTTGCATTTGTCTCCATGTAAGGACTTGCTAATGCCAAGTGCAGGATCCCTAGAGATGTAGCAGCCACACTTGCAGACGCCATGACAGGACCCAGTAGAAAAAAGAAAACTCATTCCAGTCCCCAGTGACATGATAGTGGGCAAGTTCTGTATGATCTTTTCTGTCGTCTTCAGTTATGCTCATCCTTAGCCCATCCTAAATCAACCTGCTGTGCCCTTCCTTTCAATTCATCCAGTCTCTTGCTTTTTCTTACCACAACCACTGCTATCTAATTATTTCTTGCTAATATCTTTTGGATAAGTGGTCTCCAACCTTTTTGGTAGCAGGGACAGGTGTCATGGAAGGTAATTTTTGTACAGATGGGTGAGGGGTGGGGTGGCTTCAGGATGAAACAATTCCACCTCAGAACATCAGGCATTAGTTATATTTTCATAAGACATGTGCAGCCTAGATCCCTCGCCTGATCAGTTCACAATAGGGTTCACGATCCTATGAGAATCTAGTGCCTCTGCTGATCTGACAGGAGGCAGATCTCAGGTGGTAATCCTCTCTTGGTCCCCACTGACCTTGTGCTGTGTGGTTCAGTTCCTAACAGGTCACCATCCGGTACTGGTCCACAGCTTGGGGATTGGGGAACCCTGCTTTACATAACCAGACTCCTTCTAGAGTAGCCTGATTCCAGTTCATCTCCCATAACATTACTAGACTGGTACTCCTAATGTACAAATCTGACCATGTTGCTCGCCTATATAAAGCATGTAGGCCAAACACATTAGCGTAGTAATAAAGCCCTTTATTTATAGCTCACTCCTGCCTTCTGTTCCAGTCACATATGCTGGGCTTCTCTTATTTCTAAGACATAGAAGCCAAAATAAACTATCTAGAGTTTCTCAATTTTCAGTGTTCTTCAATTCCACCAAAATGATGTTTTCTCTGCTTAGAATGTCCAGCTCCTTTTTTTTGTTTTTGTTTTGGTAGCTAATCCATACATGCCTTTTATAGTCAAATTCACCTGGATAACAAAAACATAGTTTTTAATTTACCAGTTTTGTGTTCAAGATGGCGTTCATCTTTCTGAGATTAAGTTATTGCCTGTGTAAAATGAGGAAAATTAAAAATGGTCTCATAGAAAAAAAAGAGTTAGCAAAGTTTTCCTATAAAGGGACATTCTGTAAACCATATAGTCTTAGTCACAATTGGTTCTGTTGTTGTAGTATAAAAATAGCCATAAATGGCCTGGCACGACGGCTCATGCCTGTAATCATGAGCACTTGGGAGGCTGAGGCAGGTGGATCACAAGGTCAGGAGTTTGAGACCAGCCAGGCCAACATAGTGAAACCCCGTCTCTACTAAAAATACAAAAATTAGCCAGGCGTGGTGATGGGCACCTGTAATCCCAGGTACTCAGGAGGCTGAGGCAGGAGAAAGAATTGCTTGAACCTGGGAAGGTGGAGGTTGCAGTGAGCCGGGATGGTGCCATTGCACTCCAGCCCAGCCGACAGTGTGAGACTCCGTCAAAAAAAAAAAAAAAATATATATATATATATATATAGCCATAAACAATATGTCATGAATGGGTCAGACTGTGTTTTAATAAATATGTACAGAAACAACTGAGGGCCTGCCTCACTCATAAAGTCATCACTTAATGTCCTTTTCCTTATATTCCTACTCAAATATGTTAAATGCAAATTCTTAAACCAACCTTTTATGTAAAAGCCAAACAGCAAACAAGGTAAATCAGTAAAAACATACTAATATCAATTTCCTAACACCCAAAGAATTTACAAATTTTGTGATTAAAAAGATTGTTCTTTTTATTTCAAAATGTGGAATAAATTTGGAAAATATGCATCAATTAATAGAATGAACAATAATAAAACATTTTTGCCTTGTTCATTAAAGGAAGTCCACTGCCCTGTGTGTATCTAAAAATTCTTTAAATAAAGATCAAATATTCTGAATGTATTAAAAAACTTGTTTGATAGAATAAAGTTAACCTGGATTATATTTGCATTTTACATTGTTAAAATGAATTTGAATTAGCACTGAAATATTGGGTTTATTTATATTTGACTATATAAGTTGCCTATTTTTTAGCTAGAAAATGTTTTAAAATAATTGTTTATTGATTATGGAAAATATTACATGCAGTTGACTTGGGACCCATGTAAATGTTAGGTTTAAAAATTCAGACTATATACAATTGGCCCTTTAACAGTGGTTCCAACTCTTCACATAGTCAAATATCTACATACAACTATTGGCTTCCCAAAAACTTAACTACTAAAAGCCTGCTCTTGACCAGAAGCCTTAACAATAACACAAATGGTCAATTAACACATAGTTTGTATGTTATATGTATTATATACGATGTTTTTACAATAATGTAAGCCAAGGAAAACAAAATGTTATTAAGAAAATCATAAGGAAGAGAAAATATATTTACTATTCATTACATGGGAGTGAATCATCATAAAGGTCTTTATGTTGGTTGTCTTCATATTGAGTAGGGTGAGGAGGAAGAAGAAGAGGAGAGGTTGGTCTTGCTTTCCCAACAGTGGCAGAGGCAGAGAAATATATGCATATGAGTGAACCCAGGCAATTCAAACCTGTGTTGTTCAAGCGCCAAATGTGTATTTTCTAATCTACTTAGATTTATTAGATTTGCTCTATATTCATAACTGTGCAGTCTTTGGGTAATTAACTAATTTGCAAATGTAGATTAATCATTTTCCTAATGTGCAAAATACAAAGCAATATTGGGCACTGAAAATACCTAATATGTAAATTTCATGAAGAAAAAATTATTTGAGATATATAAGAGGATCTTTGAATGCGGCATTCTATTACAATGATAAAACTCTAGGAAGTCAAGAAAAAAAATCAATGAAAGCATGGACACAAACCACATGGCATTATGTGCTAGGGGGCTTTTTTTTTTTTTTTAACTTGTGCAGAACTGATAGTCAAGCACCATAACTAAGGCCAGACAGTATAGATCCCACATTCTGAGTTCAGAGAATCACCTGTCCTGAGGGCAACCACCTCCCTATACCTACTGAGAGTTGTCATTTTAACAGATCCTAAAGAACAAAGTACCTCCATCTCACTGCTGTGTTTATATAGGAAATATGCCTTTTTTTTTGGAAAGCAGGGCATATTTTTTAATAGAAGCTGCTCTCTCCCCTCTTCCTTTCTAGTAATAGTTAATAGAGTAGCAGGCTCCCTTCCTTAAACCAAGGAAGAAACCCTAAAATAATCATTCACATCTGGGTAACTATAAAGAGGGAGGCTTGCTGACCTGACCATGGATACAGAAAAAATATTGAGAGGAGACAACTAAGTGGACTGGACAGGTAGAAAGGGACCAGGACCATCTTCTTTTGTATCTAATTTCTGTGATGTGTGGAAAACAGCTCATCCTCTCAGAACCCACAGTGAACCCTCAAAAAGTACTGAATATTCAAAATTTTGGCCTTGCCAGGATGCAATGTGAGGCAAAGTACAACAATCAGAAGATTGCACAATAGACCAGCAGCTCAAAAGCAGAAGATATATCCAAATTTTCCAGTTTTTTAAAGGCCATCAGTGCCTAGGGAAGCTGTTTGAGATGATATGATCATCAGCAAAGCCTGTGGAAGAAACCATTTTATCACATTAAATCCATATACACAATGGGATGAATGTTTACTAAGAATAACTTTACTGAAGCAGCTTTGAGAACTATTAATTATGATGAAATATGCTGCGAAGACCTGAATGAAGAGAAATTACATACAACACTCACCAAACCTTTTTGTGAACATAACTTTGGCTGCATTGGTATTGGCATAATGGAAATTTCAAGAACCATTTGAATAGAATACAACTGTGGAACAAAAAATTATGGAAAATGGTTAAAAATTACAAAAACTGAATAACTCAGTACCACCAATAACTATGCAAGTGTGTCCATATAACTTCACATCTCAGTATTTTCCTTTCTATCACCCTAAAAAAATTAAATGAATGATGTAGTCCATGAAGTTCATCTCAGTAAAATAATGACATGATTTCAGTTACATACAGGCAAACCTTTTGCAATTGTCTATACTGTATTTAAATTACAGGAAACATCAGGTCAAGTTATAAAGTTGGATATTATATTTTTTACTATATTATATAGAAATAGAAATCAGTATGATAAATTCAATGAATCATCTAGTAAATTTAGTAGGAGAAAAATCAATCAACTGCATTATTCTTCTGAACTAATATGCTTCAAAGGTAGAAAGTCAATCTGGAAATCCCTAAGAACACACAGTCAATCATTGAGGATTAATGGAATCACTTATGGAAAGAAAAGAAATACTCCTGAGAATTGCAGGTGCAAATGAAGCAATGTGCTTGTGTGAAAAGCATGCCAAATTAATAGTCAAAAGATCTGGCTCATCCCATTACTGGGTATATACCCAAAGGATTATAAATCATGCTGCTATAAAGACACACGCACACGTATGTTTATTGCGGCACTATTCACAATAGCAAAGACTTGGAACCAACCTAAATGTCCAACAACGATAGACTGGATTAAGAAAATGTGGCACATATACACCATGGACTACTATGCAGACATAAAAAATGATCAGTTCATGTCCTTTGTAAGGACATGGATGAAGCTGGAAACCATCATTCTCAGCAAACTATCGCAAGGACAAAAAACCAAACACTGCATGTTCTCACTCATAGGTGGGAATTGAACAATGAGAACACATGGACACAGGAAGGGGAACATCACACACCAGGGACTGTTGTGGGGTTGGGGGAGGGGGAGGGATAGCTTTAGGAGATACACCTAATGCTAAATGACGAGTTAATGGGTGCAGCACACCAACATGGCACATGTATACATATGTAACAAACCAGCACGTTGTGCACATGTACCCTAAAACTTAAAGTTTAATAATAATAAAATTAAAAAAAAAAAGATCTGGCTCAAGCACGACTTACACAAATTCAGTATATAAGCACGGGCAAAGAATTTAACTTTTTGGGGTTTCCTTGATCAAATCTATAACAAAAGGACATTTAAAATTCAGTGGTTTTATCATTTTCTTTAACGTTTTAAACATTAGTCATCATGCTGCAGTGCAGCTATTACAAGAAGCCCAATAACTGGGCCTGAAGTTGGATTGTCAGTTGGCGATCACAGGACAAAATCTGGAATCTCTGCTGACTCATATTCCTCCTTATTTCCTCAAGAAACGCCCTGTGAAATAGAAGCATGAATTCTATGGACCTAGGGATCACAGTTTATAATCCTCAAGAGAGAAAATTTGGATTATGCCCCCATATATATATAAAATTCAGAAGTAGGAGAAAGAAAACACTACTTTTATGAAATTCTTTTTTTGCTCAGATTTTTTCTTTAGTTAAACAAAAAAAAATTTAATCTCTGTGTTTTATTTGGATTTCTTATTATTTATTAAGATAATAAATGTATGCTGTTTTATGGCATTAAGTTTATGGTAATTTGTTATGACAGCAATAATAAACTACAATATAGTGTAAGAAATAATATTGAGAAGCAACACTATGATTATCACTCTATAAAACATTTGGTCACTCCACACGGTGGTATTATTTCTTTAAAACAAGTCAAATCACTTGTGAAATTCTAAAATAGCCAATGAATCTTTTAATCTTGTTCTCTAACTTTTAATTTTTCTTTCAACTTAAGGAAAATCCAGCAAACTTATTTTTATTCCATATATCATTTCAATATCTTACATGAAATTGTTAAATAATTTAGTACAATCTCCTTAGAGGGACATTTTTAAAATAGAGTTAAATATGCCTTAATCCGATGTCTGTAAAAACTGAAGTATGTTCCACACATTGCTTTCTTCACAGTTATAGGGCATGTTCAGATTGTTATTACTTTAATCAGGAATTTTTGAAGCAACTTATATATATTGTATATTACAAAATAGCTAGAAGAGAGGCTTTTCAACATTCTTACCACAAAGAAATGATAAATGCATGAGATGATCAATGACTGAAGATATGCTAACTACTCTGATTTGATAACTATATATCATAAATATATATCGTACATTAAAAATAAATTAATTAAAAAATATTTTGTATACAAAGTTAAGGCACCCAGGTTTACTGCTATCTTTAAAGATATTTTGAAAGTAGAGGAAACTTAACTGATCGAGGAATCCCATTAATTACATGTTCCCTGTATTTTAGTCTGCTAGAGACATTATAACAGAATACCACAGATGGGGTGGCTTAAACAACAGAAGGTTATTTTCTCACAGTTATCTAGGCTGGAAGTTCAAGATCAAGGTGCCAGCAGGGTTGGTTTCTGGTGAGGCCTCTCTGTAGCTCACAGAGGGCCACTGCCTTCTCATTGTGTCCTCAGATGGCCTTTCTTCTGTACCCTCTGTACCTACACACTCCTGGTTTCTCCCTCTTCTTATAAGGACACAAGATCTATTGCATTGGGGTTTCACCCTTATAACATCATTTAACCCTAATTACCCCTTAAAAGGCCCTGTCTACAAACAGAGTCACATTGAGGATTAGGGATTAAACACAAGAATTTTGAATTTCCCAACTCAATCTATGACATTTTCTAACAGTCTAACCCATCAAGCGGTGAGAAACCATGAGATGTTCCAGTTGTACGTTCTAGGTCATATATTAAAAAGCAGCCATTAACTGATGTACATAGATCTGAAATAACATTTAACTGAGTGAGTGGATAATGCGATTCGGGAAGAAATTCCAAAGTGTGTATGTTGACGCACTGCTCTCATGAGATCTCAGAATTGTATCGCTTTAACAATCTAAACAAAGTTTAGAAACTAAAAGGAGAGAGAGGAAGAGAGATAAGAAAAAAGGAGTAGGAGGAAGAGATGAAAAGGGAAGGAGGGAGAGAGAAAAGAAGACCAATAAATGCCACTAATTAGGGAGAAGGACTAGGGAAAAATTATCACAGTATGAAAATATTCAAGAAAGGCAGCAGGTTATATGGGAGAATAAGAGCCAGTATTCAACCATTTTAGAAAGTATTTAGGTGTTGATTATGTAATTTCAAGGACTAGATTAAAATACAAGTTAATAATATCCCAGTATATGTTATAGCCTAGCTTATCAAAAAATAAATCCCATTAACACCCGTTTTGAACTATGCTGAACTTTAAAGGACAAGGCAATAATCATGATCAAGATTTTAGCATATATTAATGCCAACAGCTATGAAAGTAAGTCTATATAGAAAACAATAAAATAAATATCCTCTGTTTTGCCCATATAGAGGATTAACGGCTGGTTTGTTCCAGAATACTGATAAGGGGGCCTAACAGTAAAGAAAGAAAAAAAAATTAGACATTCTGGAGTTTAGCCCTAAATAAAGTAACAGAATGTTTGTTACTATAATAGAATTCCATTATATAGAGAGGATAGTGTTACATGAAGCCAAAAAGAAATTATTTTGAGAAAATACTTACCTGTTTTTAGGATATGATGTACAAGAGTTTTAATAGTCCTACTCTTCCTCCTTGTGTCTACAAAACATATATAAATGTCTATATTTACTGTGGTAAGCAGAATAATGGCCCTCCAAAGATGTCCACATTATAATTCCTGGAAACCAGGAATATGATACAGTAGATGGCAGAATGGGATTTTGCAGATGAATTTAAGTTTTCAACCATAAAATAAGAAAATTATTTTAGATTATGCAGATAGGCCAAATATAATCATATGGACCTTTCAAAGGGCAAGAAGACAGTGGAAGAACCAGAGAGGAGTAGTTGAAGAAAAAGCAGAAAAGGTTTGAGACATGCCAGGGAGACAGTCCTCCGTTCTGGCTTTCAAGGTAGAAGTAGGGGTCTAGGATAGTGGCCAATAAGAGCAAGCAACAGCCTGCAGCTGATAGCCAGCAGGAAAATGGGAACCTTAGTCAGAAAACCATAAGGAGCTAAAATTTGCAAACAATCTGCAAAAGCCTGGAAGTGGATTCTCCCCCAGAGCCTCCAGCAGAGGATTCTGCCTTGCTGACACTTTGGGGTCTCTTAATTGACAAATAGTAATTGTATGTATTAATAGGGTGTAATGTGGTGTTTTGATATGTGTTTACATTGTGGAATAATCAAATCAATTAATAAATTCATCACCTCACATACTTATTATTATTTTGTAGCAAAACATTTTAAATCTACTTTTTAACAATATTTATATATATTTACTTATATACCAATGCTTTACAGTTTATTATAGTCACCACTCTCCCTTTTCCCCCTTACCTTCCCCAACATCTGATACTCATCATTCTACTTGCTACATCTATGAGTTTGACTTTTATAGATTCCAGCAATCTCACTTCTGGGTGTATATCCAAAGGAATTGAAATCAGCATGCCAAAGAGATAACTGCACTTCTGTGTTCATTGCAGCATTATTCACAAAAGCCAAGATATGGAAACAATCTAGGTGTCTATCATTGGATGAATGGATAAAGGAAATACGGTATATATACGCAACTTTAAAAAGAAGGAAATTCTGTCATGTGCAAAAATGTAAATTAAACTGGGGGAGATTACACTACGTGAATTAAACCAGGCAAAGAAGAACAAACACTGCATGATCTCATGTACAATCCATGCCTTAATCTTAACTACAAAAGTGTGAAATAATAGATTTTGTTTTCTTTTTTTCTTTTCTTTTCTTTTTTTTTTTTGAGACAGAGCCTTGCTCTGTCACCAGGCTGGAGTGCAGTGGCGCGATCTCGGCTCACTGCAACCTCCACCTCTGGGTTCAAGCAATTCTCCTACCTCAGCCTCCTGAGTAGCTGGGACTACGGGCATGCACCACTGTGCCCAGCTAATTTTTGTATTTTTAGTAGAGACGGGGTTTCACCATGTTGGCCAGGATGGTCTCAATCTCTTGACCTCATGATCCAACCGCCTTGGCCTCCCAAAGTGCTGGGATTACAGGCATGAGCCACCACGCCCAGCCAAGGTAATAGATTTATAATGTTTTAAGCCAATCATAATTATTTTATGGCAGCAATAGACAACCAATACACATACAAATCTCTCTGTTTCTAAATTTTATAAGCATGAATAAAAAACTACCTTCAAAAGCAAAGAGGAAGTAGACTAATGATAGATATGTTGGACCTATTAGAAAGAGGGACAATTTTGTGCTAAGGCAAGACCTGCCAAGTAAAAGTGATGGAAGGTATTAACTAGCCAGATATCCATTGGTATGAAAATATTTATTTATTTTCCGCTGCTCAGCTACCATAATTAGTACAATATAATAGGGCTTTGCCTTATAAGATCAACTTAGTGAATAAAATCTCTTCTATTTTAATGATACTGGAAATAACTTAGTACCAAATCAATTATTGCAAGTTCATATATTTCAAGTTCAGTATAGAGATAAACATTTTATACCTCTTTTACTTTGCATGAAAATATCATTTCTTGACATATCCAGATGGTTTATTTTGAATAAAGTAATATATGTCCTAAAATGAGTGAAGTATTGAAAGCAATAAATAGAAAATAACGTATTATACATAGTAGTGTCATTTTGAAATGATTTAAATATAGTTAAATATGGCAGAGCTTATGCCATATTTCATTTTAGATCTTTTAAATATGGTAGTATTGGTGTCTTAATTGCTAAAGAGTTTTAGAAACTGGGTACATGAAATGATAATTCCTCCAAGAAAAAAGTGGTCTTCAAAAAGACAAAATCAGAACTTATTTCCAGTATTATGTATTCTGAAATGAAATGCCATATATGGATTACAACTATAATGGAAATCAAACTAGCAAACATTCTCTCATTATCTTTCTCACTCTCTATCTGACTTCTACGTGTCTGCCTATATTTCTATCTATCTTCATGTAACTAAAAATAAAAAAACATATCAGAAGATACAAGCGTCATATTTTGTTGTTGAATGACAATATATCTATACGAGAAGAATAGTCCTTATTTTTATTCTATAGACATCCATTTTAAAGGTCTCCTTAACAAATGTTAATATAAAAACTATGTGCAATTTTAGAATTTGATACCCTAACTTGAAATAGAGACAGTAGGCATTTTTACTTTCACTTTCTCCAATGTGATGTTTTCAAAAATAACACAGATGTCCAAACATTTATATGGAATCAAAAATCTGTTAAAGTGTTGCTTCTGCTTTGTTTACTTATAAATTTATAAATTTACAAATTAAAATAAATGATGAATATTCTTATAATTTCTTTTCTTGCAGCCAGAAAACAAACTCATTAAAATAAAACTGCTGCTGTAAAAATTTAGTTTTGAATGTGCATGCCCGGGTCCATCTGATTTTCCCAAAGATTCTACTAGATTTTCTCAAAAGAAGAAATTTATTAAAAATCAATGGATTGGCCAGGCACAGTGGTTCACACCTGTAATCCCAGCACTTTGGGAGGCCCAGAAGGGCAGATAACTTGAGGTCAGAAGTTCAAGACCAGCCTGACCAACATGGTGGAACCCTGTCTCTACTAAAAATACAAAAATTAGCTGGGCATGGTGGCATGGCCTGTAATTCCAGCTATTCAGGAGGCTGAGGCAGGAGAATCACTTGAACCCAGGAGGGGGAGGTTGCAGTGAGCCTAAATCATGCCACTGCACGCTAGCCTGGGTGACAGGGAGAGACTCTGTCTTGAAAAAATGATTAAAATAAATAAATTAATTAAAATCAATGGATTACACCAAAACTTTTTGACAGAAGAAAGTGTTGGAAAATGATTATGTCTTGAGTATTGGCTTTTCACACACTAGTTACTTAATGCCATTTAAATAGATTTAATTATTCATTATTTTTGTCAATGTGTTTGACTTCAAAATGTTTCTGCAAATTATATTCCACAAAATATGCTTATTTAGCAAGGTTGGCACAGTTTTACAAGTTGTTTTTAATAATTTCTGGCTCCAGTTCAAATTTTGAAATCATATCAGAAAATAAATGCAAGCATTAATGGTTCCAAAATTGTTGTCTCATTCATAACCATTGAACACTCTTGGGTAATTTGATAGTATTTAGTAAATTTTAAAATAATTTTTCCAGAATACTTTTTATCATATGTTTATTTCTAATTTTAAACTTCTTAAATTCATTTTCAGCCAAATGATTGTACCAAGGGACTATTGCCATCAAATGTGCATTTTTCTTGTAAGGATCATATTGCAATTATTAGAGCATTGCAATAATTTGCAATTCTCTCTTACAAGACTGTGCACTTATTTAAATTGCCTACTAGTCTTTTAACATGTTTCAATTGTTTGATTTTCTTTTAAAGAACTTCAAAAATAAGTGAGAGGTAAAGGACTGTAATCCCAAAGACAATGATGTTTAAAGCTACATATTTTTAAATCTCATGTTTACATTACACTAAGTGTGAAACTGTACAAGTTATTTAATATTTGTCTCAAGATGATCACGTGAAAAATGATAACAAAAACATTTCTTTTTTCGAAGGTATAGTTATGATAAAATATGCAATATGGGAATGCTTGGCATATGAGTCATCAATAGTATCATCAAAATAAGTTTTGTATCATACTTAATGAACTGTTTGCCCACCTTAAGATCATGAAGACCTTCTATCGTGTTTCACTATAGTCATCTTACACTTTTATCTCTTAAACTTAGGCTGGGGATTCATTTGAATTAGTGTTTATGTTGTTGTTGTTACTAGTTTTGTTCTTTGCTGTTGTTGTTAGTTTTTTGTTGTTGTTATTATATGGTGTGGGGTAATGGTTTAAGTTTTTCATGTTTTGTTTCTGGCTTTTTGGTTTTTGTTTTTTTTTGCATGTGTATAATCCAGACTGTCCCACATTTATTAACATAGGGGAAAAACTGGTATTTCTCTAGTTGTAATTTACCATGAACTTCATTTTAGCTCAACCTAATTTTGATTGGACTTTTCCATAGGTCTAGTAACATAAAGTTTTTAAAACATTTTCCCCAAGTGAAAACTATTAGAAAACTGTCAGGAAATTAGAAAATATAGTATGTGGCTTTCCAATTCATTATTTAATAAAAGTGATTATTATTTTAGATCTTCAAATATCCTAGTTACTTACTTTCTGCCCAACTCTATATTCCTATTTTTGTCATGTAAGTAAAAAATAGTAACATTTATTTATGAAATACATAAAGTTAAATTAAAAAACAAGATTAACTTTTAATAAAACGCCAACAAGAAGTGTAATAAGAAATTAAATTAGATAGATAATATGTAGGACAAATAGTTGCATAATGTTTTAAAATATCCATGTTTATTTTGTTTTGTTTTCTCAGTGGATATCACACATTTCAATCTTACTGTTGCTATTGCTGTATATTGCTATTACCTTTACTTTTGTGCCCAGAACTTTCAGATTTGTTCCTATTACTCATAAGAATGTAGTTCCAGAAAACTCAGAGATTACCTGGCAATCTGTCAAAGAGACATGAAAACTTTAAAAAAGTAATGTATCTAAAATCCTTTCCTTATTGTCAACTAAAGTAGACATATTTTTCTGTATCAAATATTTTCTTAAATCCTATATAACTTTACCTTATGAGAACAAAAAATGTTCTGCATTTTCCCATGTAATAAGAGTATAATAATTAAATCAATAAGCTAGAATTTTATAACCTCATGTTCCAAGTTTTTCTGAATGAATTTGCCAAAAGGAATATATACATTTAATATTTATGTTTATACTATCAATAATTTTATTTTACAACCCATTAGCTAAATACAAAATTAATACTATAGCTTTCTTCTAAATAACTTATATTAATGAACTATTTCTGTGTAACAAATTATCCTAAAATTTAGCAGCGTAAAAAAATGTGTTATATAATACAGTTTCTCAGGGTCAGTGACCCAGGAAGAAACTTCTAGGTGCTCTGTCCTGTGCTCAATCACCAGGTTGTATTCCACCTGCCATCCAGGCAGCAGTCTTTCTAGGCCTGGACTGGAACTAGAGAATTCTCCCCCAGGTTAACTCATATGGTTGTTAGAAATCATCAGTCCTTTCTGGTTGCTGGCAGAAGATGTTTCTTCTTTGCCATATAGGCCTCTCTGCAGGCTGCCTGACGGTCCTCACAAAATGACAGCTGGCTTTCCCCAGAGCAACTCTGAAAATTTAAGAGAGTCTCTTGTAATCTAATTTTGGAAGAGATACATCTTCACTTTTGCCATATTCAGTTGGACATCCACACCAAAATTAAGCTACTCTGTGGGAGGGAACTAAATTATGGTCTATGTGAATAGCAGGAGAGGGTTCACAATCAATCATACACGCACTGCAATATCTTTTAATTTAAATTAATTTCATGGTATGTCTAGTTTAAATAAGAATATTAGAATAATATAGCGTCTGCTAAAATAAATTACTATCCTCCAAAACTCTCTAAAATAAATACCGATTTAAATATGTCATAGGATAACTTCACTGCTCTTAAAAATTAAGTAGGTATATAAAATTTTAGTGGAAAAATAAAGTGTACAAATAAATATTATTTAGCTTAGTAGAAGAAAATATGTGATAGAGTTTTATTCAGTTCTAGGCAATGTCGACTTTTTTTTCATAAGAAATGGCTGTGAATTTCTACTACCTCAGCTTAACTGTCATAAACACACCAGAAACAAGCAAATACCTTAGGGGACTAAACTCAAGACAATGTGAGATGTTCTGAAAACCAAACTAAAATGTTAGATAGCCTGAGAAAAGAACATTTATATAACGTTTTCTGTAAGGTAAAGTCCATTTAAGAAAGACTATTTAGGGCTTAAGGGTTGTATTAATGGCAATGCCCAGTATTATTATGAATCTTTGCTTAGTTTTCACTAGCTTACTTAGTGGGTAGTTGAAAGAACCTCGATTCTCTTGTGTTCAGCTCTGATTCTTTCTTTTAGTTCACCATGTTCTAGTCTGTTATTAAAGACTTCCATCAGAGTGCTCATTGGAGCCTTGTGACTACTGTAAAAATCACTATATCTAAATACTATTATTTTTGAAGAAATTCTGTAAAATGCTTTAGTGTTACTGGACCAAAAAGTATGTTTGCGAAAAACCCATGTTCATGCATTCATGTAAATAAATACACACACACACACACACACACACACCCCTTAGTCGTTCTAAGTCTTCCTTATATGTCACAAATATGCAACTTTTCTCTCTGCCAAAATTGAATAATTTAGAGTCACATATAATGTCTTCATATTTCATTTGCTCCCAGTTTGTTTAATCTTCCAGTGGTGATTCACAGAGCTTTGCTAAATAGATGGAAATTACCAATCAGAAACATGAGCCTCACAATTTAAAATATGACCACTTTGAAGTAACATTCACATAAGATAATTGTAGAGGTAAGTGTTTTGAATATAAGATTATGTGTAAAATGATCCTATTATTTTAATAATAGAATTATGTATAACATTAAATTAGTGCTTCTATTTCATGCTTTCAGCCTCATTATTCATAAATTGAATTTCAACTAATCAAGCGTAACACTCAATGACTAGTACAGATAGCATCAGTATCTGTAATACAGATAGCATCAGCATTTTCACTGTCATGTTAGATATATCTAATTCTTTGGGTAAGTGAGTTAATAGAAAGTATAGGCTTTCACTGAAAAATGGTAAAGTGCAGATATAAAATATTTGTATACTTAAAGTTACAAAAGTTATCCTCACCTTTTGTGTATGTTCAAAAGTGAATTTGTTCTATGCACCCTTTGATCATTATTTAACTATGTTATTTGTCAAATTCCCACTGCCATCTGTGTACTGTTTTGACAAAAGCATAATTAATGTTTTAAAAAGTCATCTCATTTTAATTCTGAAATCCCATAACATGAATTGCTTGATTTTTTTCTTAGCTCTTTAGCGTAACTCATCTTTTTTGTAAATTTTGCATTTACAGCAATTATTCCTTCAAGGTATCTGCATGTAGGCATTTTCAATTTATTTCTCAAGTAGAGCTCCCTGACTGGCAGAAGAATAAGAGAAATGGCAGATTGGAGTTTTAACATGATTTCCTATTCATCTAGGCTGCCAAGGCTAAACTTGTAATTAAAGGATAATCCCACAGCAAGACCAAGCGCACAGCAAGTAAACACAAGCCTATGTTTATGGGGCACTTTTATTTAGTACTTGGTTCCGGGAAATATTTTTATAAAAGTAATGCAGATAATTACCATAAAACACACTACTATTTAATTAGCCCCTTTTATGCTGAATCTGAACACATTAACAACTTCATTCTTAGCAGAATCTCTTTAAAACATGAGAAACAGTTCTCGAATCATAACTACCATTAAAAAAAAAAGGAATATAAAATAAGTGTCATAAAAAGCTAGGCTTTTATGGGCTTTGGAATCAGACAGATCTTTGTCCTTTTCACTCACCTACCCTCATACATAAATTCTCTCTTAATCTCTTTCTTAATCTTCCATAAAAATGGGATGTACTTCAAAGACTAAATAAAAGAGAACATACTGAGTTTTTGTCATGACTTATATGTATCTGACTTACCCTCCTACCAGAAATTATTATAAAATAGGAAAATAGATATAAACTAACATTTTAAAGCATAGAACAATTCAGGGATCTGATCTTTTCTATAAGAAAAACAAATGAGACAAACTCAGTATTCATCCCAGTATTCTAACTGGGTGCACTTCACAAACCACAACACAAAGTCATTGAGCCCTAACAAAAAGCATTGCTCTCATTAGACAGAGGAAGTGGAGACCAAGGTGTGGCCTGCCAGTGGCTAGAATTTACACTGGTTTCTAGAGCAGAAAAATCTCTGCAAATGAAAGCTTCAGAAAGCTGAAGAGGGGTTTCTTTGAGTTTGTGACTAAGTGAAAAGCTATAAATGCATGTGACAAGACTCTGTGGCCTGAAGCGTTTAAGGAACTATTGGGATAATTTAATTTAATCAGGGATGATGCAAAACTCTCAGTTCTGGGTGTTAGTGTAGTTCCAGCCATCCCACTGATAGAACTTATTGAATAGCTTGGTATTAGAAAGAAACCTCAGAGAAATTAATCTATCCACAGGGTAACAACTACAGGAGGTATGAACTAACAAAGCCTAAAACCATACCTCAACAGGATCAAATTCATGAGTCAATAGATTAACTGCCTTCCGTAACAAAGTTAAACACTTTAAAGAATGATAACAGCAAGAAAACTCCACATAATCCATCCTTTTAAAAATTACTGGATATGCAAAAATTACAAAAACTTAAAACATAAGGCAAAGAAAAATCAGCCAGTAGAGAAAGACCAAAAGATAAACCTGATAATGAGTGATAAAATAGGTACTTTAAAACAATACAGTAGTTATGATTGTGCTCAATAATTTAAAATAAAACATAAAAGAATTTATGCATATAATGAGTAAAAATATGATGAAAAAAGGAAACAACTAAAAACAAACAAACAAACAAAAACAAGAAAGCAATGGTAATCAAGCCAGTGTAGTGTTGGGAAGAGAATAGATAAACAGATCAATGGAACAAAATATAGGGCCCAGAAATAGGCCCACACAAATATAGTGAACTAATCTTTGACAGAGGAACAAAGGCAACATAATGGAGTAAAGACAGACTTGTCAGCAAATGATGCTAGAACAATTGGACATCCATATGCCAAAACAAACAAACAAACAAACTTCACACATAGACCTTATACCTTTCAGAAAAATTAGCTCGAAATGAATCCCAGACCTAAATGTAAAATAAAAAACTATTTAACAACAAGATAACATAAAAGAAAATGTAGATAATCTTGAATTTGGCAATGACTTTTTAGATACAACACCAAAGATACGATGAAAGAAAGAAATTGGTCAGGCGTGGTGGCTCACACCTGTAACCCTATTACTGTGAGAGGTCAAGGTGGGAGGATCATTTGAGCCCAGAGGTTCAAGACTCACCTGGGCAACATAACAAGACCCTGTATCTACAAAAAATACAACAAACACACAAAAAAATAGCCAGGCATTGTGACATGTGACTGTAGTCCCAGCTACTTGGGAGGCTGAGGGAGAGGACTGCTTGAGCCCAGGAGGTTGAGGCTACAGTGAGCCGTGATTGTGCCATAGCACTCCTGCCTGGGCAACAGTGTGACACCTGGTATCCAAAAAAAAAAAAAAAAGAAAGAAAGAAAGAAAGAAAGAATTCATAAACTGGACTTTGTTAAAGTTAAAAATGCCTGTTCTGTGAAAGACACACCCAAGAGAATAGAAAAATCAAAGATTGAGAGAAAACACTTGCAAAAGTCATATTTGCTAAAAGACTGTTATCCAAAATATATCAGGAATGCTTAAAAGGCAGCAATAAGAAGATGAACAACTGATATGGTTTAGCTTTGTGTCCACATCCAAATCTCATGTTGAATTGTAGCTACCATAATTTCCATGTTTTGTGTGAGGGATCTAGTGGGAGGTAAGTCAATCATGGGGGCAGGTCTTTCCCGTGCTGTTCTCCTCATAGTGCATAAGTCTCATGAGATCTGATGGTTTTATAAATGGGATTTTCCCGGCACAAATTCTCTCTTGTCTGCCGCCATGTAAGACATGCCTTTCACCTTCCATCACAATTGTGAGGCCTACCCAACCACCTGGAACTGTGAGTCCACTAAACCTCTTTTTCTTTATAAATTACCCAGTCTTGGGTATATATTTATCAGCAGTGTGAAAACAGACTAATACAGTAAATTGATATTGAAAGGGCAGTGCTATAAAGATATCCAAAAATGTGGAAGCAACTTTGGAATTGGGTAACAGGCAGGGATTGGAAGAGTTTGGAGGGTTGAGAAAAAGGCAGGAAAATGTGACAAAGTTTGGAACTTCCTAGAGAGTTGTTGAATGGCTTTGACCAAAATGCTGATAGTGATATTGACAATGAAGTCCAGGCTGAGGTGGTCTCAGATGGAGATGAGAAACTTGTTGAGAACTGGAGTAAACGTGACTCTTGCTATGTTTTAGCAAACAGCTGGTGGCATTTTGCCCCTGCCCTAGAGATTTGTGGAACTTTGAACTTGAGGGAGATGATTTAGGGTACCTGGAAGAAGAAATTAAGCAGGAAAGCATTCAAGAGGTGACTTGGTTGCTGTTAAAGATTCAGTTTTAAAAGGGAAACAGAGCACAAAAGTTCAAAAAATTTGCACCCTGATGATGCAATAGAAAAGAAAAATCCATTTTCTGAGAAGAAATTCAAGCCTGCTGCAGAAATTTGCATAAGTAATGAGGAGCCAAATGTTAATCGCCAAGGCAATAGAATAACTGTCTCCTGGGCGTGTCAGAGACTTTGTGGCAGCCCCTCCCATCACATGCCTGGAGGCCTAAGAGGAAAAAGCCATTTCCTGGGCTGGGTACCCTGCTGTAGGCAGCCTAGGGATTTAGTACCCTGTTTCCCAGTCACTTCAGCTATGGCTAAAAGGACCAAGGCACAGTTTGGGCTATGGCTTCAGATGGTGCAAACCCCAAGCTCTAGCAGCTTCCACATGGTGTTGAGCCTGCAGGTGCACAGAAGTAAAAAATTGAGGTTTGGGAACCTCAACTTAGATTACAGAGGATGTATGCAAATGCCTGGATGTCCAGGCAGAATTTGCTACAGGGGCAGGGCCTTTATAGAAAACCTCTGCTGGGGTAGTGGAGAAGGGAAATGTGGGGTTGAATCCGCCACACAGAGTCCCCACTGGTGCACTGCCTAGTAGAGCTGTGAGAAAAAGGCCACCATCCTCCAGACACCAGAATGGTAGATCCACTGACAGCTTGCACAATGCACCTAGAAAAGCTGCAGACACACTCAATGCCAGCCCAGGAAAGCAGTCAGGAGAGGCGATGTATCCTGCAAAGCCACAGGGATGGAGCTTCCCAAGACCATGGGAACCCACCTCTTGCATCAGCATGACCTGGATGTGAAACATGATGTCAAAGGAGATCCTTTTGGAGCTTTAGGAAATGACTACCCCACTGGGTTTTGGATTTGCATGGGGCCCACAGCCCCTTTGTTTTGGCCAATTTCTCCCATTCGGAATGGATATATTTACCCGATGCCTGTACCTTCATTGTGTCTGAGAAGTAACTAACTTGCTTTTTACTTTACAGGCTCATAGGTGGAAGGGACTTGCCTTGTCTCAGATGAGACCTTGGATATGGACTTTTGAGTTAATGCTGAAATGAGTTAAGACTTGGGGGGACTGTTGGGAAGGCATGTATGGTTTTGAAATGTGAGGACATGAGATTTGGGAGGGGCCAGCGGTGGAATGATATGGTTTGGTTCTGCGTCCTCACGGAAATCTCATCTTGAATTCTGTCTTCCATAATTCCCACAAGTTGTGGGAGGAACTCCGTGGGAGGTAATTGCATCATGGTGGCAGGTCTTTCCCATGCTGTTCTGGTGGTAGTAAGTCTCATGAAATCTGATGCTTTTATAGATGCCAGCTTCGTTGCACAAATTCTCTCTTTTCTGCCATCATGTAAGACATGTCTTTCACCTTCCACCATAATTGTGAGGCCACCCCAGCCATGTGGAATTGTGAGTCTATTAAACCTCTTTTTCTTTTTAAATTACCCAGTCTAGGGTATGTCTTTATTAGCAGTGTGAAAATGGACTAATACAACAACTCACTTTAAAAATGGTCCAAGCACTTATACCTCACCAAAAAAGACACATGGATGGGAAATAAACATATGAAAAGATCTTCCAATTCACATGTCATCAGGGAAATGGAAATTAAAATGACAATCAGATAGCAGTACACAGCCATTAGATTGGCCAGAATCCAGGACACTGACAGCACTAAATACTTTCAAGGATGTGGAGCAACAGGAACTCTTATTCATTGCTGGTGAGAATCCCAATGAGAATCCAAAATGGCAGTCACTTGGATGACGGTTTGCCAGTTTCTTACAAAACTAAACATATTCTTATCACACGATTCAAAAATTATGCTCCTTGTTATTTACCCAGAAGAGGTGAAAGCTTATATCACCACAAAAACTTGGGTATAGTTGTTTATAGCAGTATTATTCATAATTACCAAAACATAATATGATGTAATCCTTTAGTAGGTGATTGAATAAACTCTGGTACTTTCAGGTAATGGAATATTACCCAGTGCTAAAAGGAAATGAGTTATCAAGCCATGAAAAGACATGAAGGAAACATAAATGCATACAACTAAATGAAAGACGCCAATCTGAAAACACTACATGCAGTATAATTTCAACTATACATTTTGGAAAAGGGAAAACTATGGAGAAAGTAAATAGATCACTGGTTGCTAGGGCTAAGAAGGCAGGGAAAGATACACAGGCAGTGAAACTACTCTGTATGATACTATTATGGTAGACAGATGGCATGATACATTTGTCCAAACCCAAGGATCATACAACACCCAAGATGACCCTAATGTAAACTATGGACTCTGGGTAATGATGTATCAATGCACATTCATCAGTTTTAACAAATGTACTGCTGTGGAGTGGAAAGTTGATAATGTGGGCAGCTATGCATGTGGGGGAATGAGGGTAGAGGGGAAATCTGTACTTTCCTTTTCAATTTTGCTAAGAACTTAAATTTACTTCAAAAAGTGAATCTATTTAAGAAAATAAACAAAATTAAAATTCTAGAAATAAAAAATAAATTAGAAATAAAAAAGTTCATAGAATATTTAATAGATTATTGGACATTAAAGATGAAAAATCAGTGACAATGACAACACTTTAAAGAGAAATTATCTAAACCAAAGCACATTTAGATAAAGTAATAAAAAAAATTCACTGTCTTTAGTGACCAGATTAATTATATTAAACAGTATAACATATATTTCATTAAAATCTCACAAGTAGAGAATATTGACAATAAATTAACTTAACATGAATTAATCATGGGTGTAGTTTTGTCAGTTTGATGAAAATATTAGTCAATATAATCAAAAAGCTTAAAAAACACCAACCAGTATAAACAGAAGACCACCACTGTAGGCACACTATAATTAAGTCGATAAAAATGGAATTTAAAAAGGAAAACAAAAAACAATGGGCAGAGGAAAAGATTTAATTCGGGCATCTAAAAAAAAAATGACTGCAGACTTCTGATGAGGAACAGTGCCAGCCAAAAATAAATACATAAATAAATAAATAAAAAATAAATAAATAAATGCAACATGTTTAGTGAGGCAAAATATAAAAGTAAACACATGTAACATATAAATATAAGGTCAGGGAAAATATTTTAAAATGAGTAGCAAATAAAATCACAGCCTGATATATAAAACCTATGAGGATAAATGAATAAAACTTCAAATTGAAAGGAAATAATGCTCAGTGGAAAAAATAGTATGCATGACCTCATGAAGAATGATAAAAATGGCAAATGTAAAGCAAAATTAATAACTGAAAATATAATACAAAAGTATGTCATTAAAATTTCAATTGAAACAACAAAGTGGATTAATAAAAACAATTATTTGTATTAATAGGCAGAGAATGAGTAAGAGAACCGAAAGAACCAATGGTGCAAATAGGAAACATAAAACTATGTGAAGATAGAATCTAATATTTCAAATATTAAATTAATTTTGAATGGACAAAATACCTCAATTAAAATTTGGGAACTGTCAGACTAAAAAATAAAATAAGTCACACATCTAATATAGTGTAAAGTAAGCATTCACTTTAAAGAAACAGATATGCTAAGTAAATATTATGAAGCCAAAATTGCAATTAGTAAACAAAATTGCAATTAGTAAACACTCTTTCAAGTGTATGTGTAACATTCATCAAGATGCCCAATTACAAAGCAATTCTCAAGAGATTTCACAATATGGAAATCATTTATAGAATATTTTCTAACCAAGGCTGAATTAAATTAGAAATCAAAAACAAGACAAAACAAGATCTAAAATATCTACAAATACTTGGAAAAACCAATAATTCTACCTCTAAATAAAACATGTCAAAAATTTTTAATTGAAAAATAAAATATTTGAACTGAATAATAATACAAAGGTGACATATGAATTGTCACAATGCAGTTAAAGTATTTATAATGCTTATAGTAAAAATTGTAAATATTTATCATTGAAAACCAATGATCAAATATAATGCCTTAATTAAGTAGTCAGAAAAATTGAAGCAAATTAAACTTAAAGAAAATTGAAAAAATAAAATAATAATGATAAGAATAGAAATTAAGTACTAACAGCAGAAAAGCAAAATAAAAAAGTAAAAGAAACAAGTTGGCATTTTTTTAAAGTCCAAATAGTTATTAAACTTCAAGCTAATCTAATCAAGACATAGAGAAAGCAAAAATCACAAATCTTTGAGAATGAAACATGAGACATTACTTTAGATCTTATACATTTAAAAAAATGAAATGTATGTTATTAACAATTTTATAGATGTAAATCTGACAATTTAATGAAATGGCCAAATCCCTTGAAAGATGCAAATTACCAAAATTAACAAATACGTTGTAGAAAATCTAAATAGACCTATATCTCTTAAAGAAATTGAATTTGTAATCCAAAACATAAATATCCAAGTAGTATTTTGGATACTTTTATGGGAATTATATCAGTCTTTTACAGTAGCTTTTACAAGAAAGAGGAAGAAGAAAAAATTACTTCATTTTGTGAGTACTTGGTAACCCTGATTACAAATTAGACAAGGAAATTGGAAGTAAAGTTTATAGACAAATTTTTTTTATAAACATTGATGCAAAAACACTTGAGAAAATATTGGCAAACTGAATCCATCAAATAATAATACTATAATAACATATCTTGCACAAGTATACTTGATGTGAGAATGGCAAGGTTAGTTTAACATTTGAAAAATCAATTAATTTAATTCACTACATTAATTATAAAAAGCAGAAAAATAATGTAACTTTTGCATCTGATGTAGGTACCATTCATGATATAAGAAATAAAAGAAATTCAGAAAATTGAGATAGAAAATTTTCCCTTTTGAGAAAGAGAATTTATGAAAAATAGATAATGTCAAACAATAGTAATGAAAAAGTTTTTTAATGTTGAATCACAGTAAGAATGTCTTTCACCACTATTTACATTCAATATTATACTGGAGTTCAGATCTAACACAGGAAATCTAGAAAATTACACAAAATTCGGCCAGGCGCGGTGGCTCATGCCTGTAATCCCAGCACTTTGGGAGGCCCAGGCAGGCAGATCACGAGTTCAGGGGATGGAGAACACTCTGGCTAACACGGTGAAACCCTGTCTCTACTAAAAATACAAAAATTAGCTAAGCATGGTGGTGTGCACCTGTAATCCCAGCTATTTGGGAGCCTGAGGGAAGAGAATCACTTGAACCTGGGAGGTGGAGCTTGCAGTGAGCCAAGATGGCACCACTGTACTCCAGCCTGGGCGACAGAGTGAGACTGTGTCTTAAAAACAACAACAAAAAAATTACAATAAATAATAAAATTCTAATGTCTAAGTATATGCTATCAATTATAATTATGATTATTATGTTAAGCTATTGTAAACCACAGAAATAATCAAATTTCCCTGTATAAAGCTATTAACCCAAGTAGAACAAAAAAATTAAATACCAAGAAAATACTTTCTCAGATTTTCATGTTAAACCAGCTGATACTGAAATTGTTTAAATATACAATTTAAATAAACTCCATGATCTAAGTCAAATTATCTATCATAACCCATCAGTTATCAAAGCTATGCACCTAACTTGGAAAAACAACTGGTATTCAAGTGGATATAAGTCTAATGTTAATTAAGCATGGAGTCATGGAGAACCAGCATGGCCACCTTGCCCTTCCTGAGTCCTAAAAGCTTTTATTATTAAAAGTTCTGAATTCCATGACTCATCATGGAAAAAATAAAATCATCCAAATTAAATATTTTGGTGTGGTGACTTACAAATTACTAAAATAGTTTATAATCAATGTTTGGCCCCATATTCCTGGGAAAACAATTAATGCTTCAGGTACATTTGGTCATCTAGTGGGTCATTTAAATATTTTATAAAGGGATTTCATTCAATTGTTATTTTCAATGCATGTTTTCTGTTTGTATAAAAGCTTTCCCATGCAAGAGGCCTGATGTTATAACAGTAGATTATTATGCTACAGTGTATTTTCACCAGGTAAAGAAAGCTTGTTATGGTTTGGATCTTTTGGGAATGTTGGAGAAAGACTGTCCTTACCATCCACACTACAAGAAAACCTCGGGACCTTGAACTTTGGGTTCATAGTCTCATATCTGAGAAGGGTCCTTCCACACTCTTGGAACTGTACACCCACACCCATTGCAACCCTTAGAATAAAACTAACCAGGGAGGTTTCTCCCCAGAGGAGGATGGCATCCTTGATGTTAACAGCTTTTCCCAAGTTCACAGATTAAGACTTCTATCCTGAAACTCTTATCTTTGAATATTTTCCCTTGATTATGCCTCTGTGAGCAATAGAAGTGGAAAAGGGGTCTGTGATGTGCACTTATGGGTATACTTTTGTGAAGGAGTTTACAGCCAGCCTTATGCATGGATAACCTTATACTTTGATTAATAAAAAATAAAAGCCCATTGTAGGTAAGAAACTTTAATGGTACATATGTTGCTTCATCATCAGTCAGAAACAAAACATTGGTTCACTCCTCTTAACCCACTTCATGGGTTAAAGAGAACACTGTCAGGAGGCCATCAGTCTTCTAGAAGGGCATCCTTTGTTAGGTCCTTTTTCCATGGTTTAAAGTAAAAGAAGCAATGATTAGAAATATATCCCTCATGATAGGATCTATGATAAATTCTACTGTAAAAGATACAACAAATTTTAAATTCCTTTGTGAAAGTCATAATGGAATTGGCTGAACAGAGAAGTATCTTTGCAGCTGCTGACACTCATGGCCTATGGAGAAAACATTGGGTATTATAGGAATTCAGTTGTGGCGGATTAACGAATAAACAGCTTAGTTAAGTAAATAGATTCTTTATCTAGCTCATCCTTTGAGCTATTTGATTTTAGGAGGTTTGGTTTATGGGAACCTTGGGTAAGGAGCATACTCTGAACTCTTGGTATTATTCTTCCAGTAGTCATAATCATAGTCCCCTGGTGTGCTGTATTCTCTCAAAGGTTTTAAATGCTTGCATGCAACCATCTCTAGAACGTCATGTGGTCTCTCTTTGACTGGAATAATAGGAGCTGAGAGAAATATGCAACCATGTGGACACCATAACCTATAAATGACCTGCTGAGACCAGAAACCCAAAATGATGGTAACTGAGAGTGGTAATAAGGCCCTAAGTTTTGGTCACACTCTCACCTAAGTGAGAACCTGAGCAAAAAGGTAGAGTTTTTTAAACAAAATTCTGGGAGGCCACTGCATTGAACTAAGCTCATAAACTAGGCCCAAACAGACCAAACCAAACTAAAACCAAAATGTGCTAAGACTTTAAGGAAACACAGGCTCTTGAACAGGTTTTGGTTTTGTCTCCTGCAAATCTCTATAACAAACATTCCTGACAGCATTGGTATTTACCCCCTAAAGTGCTCATTAAATCTTTCAACCAAATTCATTTCCTCTCACCTAGAGACCATCAAGCTTCAGATAATCATGCAAAAAAGGTTCCAGCCAATTCCAGGTGAAGACACTGCCTCTGGCCATCAAGAAGCTACCCTGCCTCCACTAGACAGAGCAGGGTAAGAGTTCCATGGTCCCCAGTTGGTAAAACTATGCCCCAAACCAGCATGAAGCATTTACAGAGAAAAGTCCATTGGTCCCTCTGCCTCCCATAAAGATTTACAGGGATCACATCTCTCAGTGGGGAAATGAGGCAGGAAAGTAGGGTCCGGAGGCAGGGAACATAAGGCCAATTCACACTTCAGCTATGACAGGAAACATCCTCTCCATAGGGCGTACGCTGAGTAAATGACTTTGTAATTTAACTTCATCCTCTTCCTTTACATAGGGTATACACCAAGTAACCAATGGGATCCTTTAGAGGGTATTTATCTCCCAAAAGTTCTGTAATGGGGCCCTTGAGCCCCTGTGCTCAGGCCCACTCCCACACTGTGGAGTGTACTTTCATTTTCAATAAATTTCTTAATTATTTCCTTGCTTTGTTTGTGCATTTTGTCCAATTCTTTGTTCAAGATGCCGAGAACCTGGACACCCTCAACCAATAACCACATCACTCCAGCTCTCCAGCCCTTTTTCTCAGGGAGATGTTTTCAATATCCCCTTTATCCCAATAGTTTTCAATAGTCTTTTTTGTCTGTTTAACTTTTATAAAGTAAAATTTTTACTTTAGCAACCGCTTATATTCCTTGCATTCTTCCAGAGAGTTGTACTTCCCCTGATTTGCTTTTATGCTCAGAAAGGGCTAGCTTGCTTTCATCAGGTATAGGGAAATTTCTTAAGCAGTGTTGCTTAAAACAAATATAGATGTCCTTACAGAGAGGGTGTGACAAATTGGTTTGGGCTAGTCAGCTACAGAAGAGGCACATTATTTTAAGGGAGTCAAAATTTGTCTTAGAATAAGCAATTCTTAAATGACAGTCTCATTTTCATTCATACCGTATGCTATCTTCTCGTTCAAGATGCCGACAGGTTCTGTTTGAGGAATTGTATAAACAGGTGTGCCTGACAGTTAATAAGGCTGTATCCACAAGCTGCATGTACTGCTTATTTCTTTATGGGCACAGCTTCATAGTCATTGGCGTCCTAGTGACCCATGTTGCAAGACGCATCCTTCCTTCTTAAATAATACTGCATTATCTACCCAGGCAGTTGGAGACTGACTGCTTCATTAGCAAGTCAATGTGCTTCCACCCTTCCTACTGATGCTATGATGTTTCTATCAATGCACATTATTCTCTTATTGGAACTGACATTTGCTGCTTAAATGTTCTAAACTATAATATTACCAGTTAAGTCAACAAGTATCCTTAGAAAGCATGTACATTTGAAAATGTATGTATTTTTATTCATCTTTTCCTTCTTAAAGAACTCCAAATTTGCAAATCAAGCATACCAAAGAGCAAACTTTCTAAATGATTTAATTATTCCATCTGCTTTGAAGAAACAGAAAGAGACAATGCCTCAGATAATCGACATTCAGTTATTTAGAAATACACAGGCTGGATTCATCACTTTGAATTGTTCTTCACATCTAATAATTTTTAATGTAAAATTGTTGTATTTTATTTGGTCTTCATGCTTTTAAGCTTCTTCAAAAGTGTGACTTAATTACATCAGAAAAACTATTATAAGAAAGGTTAACTATTTTCAGATTTTAAGGAAAATTAATATTTTCTCTTACTTTTTATGGTATTTTCTCTTTTTAAGTGTTCTTTCTCTGTTTAACTTATGTCTGCCACTTAACTTCTCAATAGTGATCAGATTATTACATTCACTCATAAGGCAGCCAGATACACTTAAAGTATTAAAAATTAACATTCTAATGTAATTATTTTAAAACAATGTTTTTCTTTCTGATGTTTTGTGATAAATTTTCAGTAGCTGGGTAAATTTAAAAGATGGTTAGTAATACCTTGTCTAGCTATTTGTAAGGTCCAAACGAATTAACAAGTCTTCATTCTGGACACTCATATAAAGAAAGGATGTCTATATGTGGTCAACTGATCTTTGTCAGGAGTGCCAAGAACACACAATGTAAAAAAGATAGTTTTTTCAACAAATGGTGTTGAAAAAACTGCATAGTCATATGCAATAAAATAAAACTCTAATCTTATACAATACCAAAAAAGTTATCCTAAATGAATTAAAGATCTGACACTGTGAAACTCATAAAAGAAAACATAAGGGCCGGGTGTGGTGGCTCACGCCTCCAATCCCATCACTTTGGGAGGCCAAGGTGGGCAGATCACGAGTTCAGGAGCTTGAGACCATCCTGGCTAACACAGTGAAACTCCGTCTCTACTAAAAATACAAAAAAAATTAGCCGGGCGTGGTGGTGGGAGCCTGTAGACCCAGCTACTCGGGAGGCTGAGGCAGGAGAAAGGTGTGAACCCAGGAGGCGGAGCTTGCAATGAGCAGAGATCGTGCCACTACACTCCAGCCTGGGCGACAAAGCGAGACTCTGTCTGAAAAAAAAAAAAAAAAAAAACATAAGAAGAAAGCTTCTTTACATATGGCTTTAGGAATTTCTTGGATATGACACCAAAAGCATAGGCAACAAAAGCCAAAGTTGACAACTGAGACTACATCAAACTAAAAACCTTCTACACACAAATGAAACAACCAACAGAATTAAAAGGCAACTACAAAACGGGGGAAAATATTTGCAAACCATATATCTGATAAGGAGTTAATTTCCAAAATATACATACACTATAAGAAACTACTACAAATTAATAGCACAAACAACAAACAAACAAACCAAAACATCCACAAAATGATGGGCAAAAGATGTGAACAGACATTTCTATTTATAAAAAAATTGCAAACCAATTTTTGCAATTTTATAATTGCAATTTTTTGCAATTTTTATAAAAAAATTGCAAACCAGGTCATATACCTGACCAACAGGTATATGAAAAGATGTTCAATGTTATTAATTACCAAGACAGAGCTAGGACCTTCTGTGAGGGGCCTGACAAGTCCCCTCATGCATGGAAATAAAGGAAAATCTTCTGTGTTTCTTCAAGAGAAATTACAGGTGCCTACCTATCCCTGAGAAGTAGATAAGCAACTTGATAAGCAAGAAGGGCAGTAGTAGCCTAAAATAATAGCCAAGGAAGCTGGAATCATGGGATGTTTTGTTCCCCTTGAAACTGAAGATAGAATCTCTGAGTTGTTTTTCAGAAACAGACCTTCACCAAACAGATCTGCTGGTAGGCAAACCTCACATAAGGAGAAACTGAGACTGAATTATGACCACCATACTTTTTTTCTAATTTTCCTGAGGTGCTTGAAGAAAGTCACACCCATGAGCCGGGGCTAACATTCTTTTCTGCTGAACCCAAAATTTTAAACAAAGCTATTCTTCCTTAACCAATTGCAAATCAGAAAATCCTTGAAACTACCTATGACCTACTTGTTAAGTCCTTGGTTCAAGATATCCTATACTTTTAGGCCAAAATCATTTTGTTTCTGTTTAAACAATTCCCTTTAGGAATTTCTGAAAGGTAGGCCTGATGGCGCTTGACTTCTTTAGCTTTTGTTTGTCTAGGAAGTTTCTGTTTCTCTGTTATTTCTAAAGGACATTGCTGAGTAAACTATTCTTTGATGGAAGTATTTTTTCTGAACTACTTGGAATATAATATCTCATTCTCTTCTAGCCTGTAGGGTTTCTGCTGAGAAATATGATGAAATCTGTATTGAGGCTCCCTTGAATGTAATATGTTTCTTATATCTTGCTGCTTTCAGTATTTTTTTCTTATCTTTGATTTTTGATAATTTGATCATAATTTGTCTCCTCTTCAGGTTGAATTTAATTGGCAACCTGAATGCTTCCTATACCTAGATGTTGCTGTTTTTTCCAGACATTGAAAATTTTCTGCTATTATTTCTTCAGGCTTTCTACATCTTTCCCCTCCTCTTCTTTCTTTAATCCCTATTATGCAAAAGTTAGTTCATTTCATATTGTTTCATAATTCCCATAAGCTTTCTGTATTCTTTTTCATTTGCTTTTTCCTCCTCTGAATAATTTTCAATATGCTATCTTCAAGCACAATTATTCTTTCTTTTGCTTGGTTAAGTCTGCTGTTGAAACCTCCTATTACATTTTTCAGTTCTGTTATTTATTCTTATCTCTAAAATGTCTACTTTTTTTATTGTTTTGATTTTTTTGTCAATATTCTCATTTTGCTCATAAATTGTTTTTCTTTTTTTTTTTTTTTTGGAAATTTCATGGAGTTTCCAGAACTTCCTTAAGAGGATAATTCTGTATTCTTTGATAGCCATTTCATAGATCTGCATTTCCTCTAAGTCCATTTTTGGAGCTTCATTAGTTTCTTTTAGTGGTGTCCTATTTTCCTAGAATTTCATAATTTTAGTACCCTTACAGTTGTGTCTGAACACTTCAGGAGATGGCCACATTTTCCAGCCCTTGCAGGTGATCTTTGGTAGTGATAGACCTTTACTATTTAGTCTAGCCCAGGATTCTGAGTGGGCTGGCTAGTAGGAGCCACAAACAGGCAGTTCTTGGTACCAGGTTCTATAGCTGGGATAGATAACTTCCTATGCACTGCAGTCATATGGTACTGCTGGCTGTGCTCCATTGTCCAATGAGACCACTGGTTAAACTCTGTCATCAGGTTGAGCTTCTGGCTGAGCTCTGAAATTGTCTCTGATAAGGCAGAATTGCAGAGTTGTCTTCCCTGGCTGAACAATACTGTTGTAGGGTAGGGCCATGTGCTGAGCTCTGAGTCTGGGAGAAGTCTCTGGAGTTGCTGCTTAGTCACATGATAAGGGCAGGGGCAGAGCTTATGCTTGACATATATGCATGAAGTTGGGCTTGCTTCAAGGATGAGGGTAGGCTTAAGCAGAGCACTGAGGTTTGGTGGAGTGGCTGCTCAGATACTAGGGTTAGATGGGTAATTGTGGACTTAGAGTTGCCTCCTAGCCTGGGGAAAACTTAAAGAGGACACCAGGGCTATGACAGGAAGCTGGCTAGGGAATTGAGCCAGGTAGACTTGTGGACCGTGCTTTCTGCAGTACAGTGCTATTAGCTAATCTCTCAGGTATGACACCTCTGTTTTTCAGAATGCAAAGGAAGAGCAAAGATCTGCCTTCTAGTTGTTGTGAGCCCCACCTACGTTGTTTGTCTATAACAGACCCAGGTGGTCTAGCTCTTCTGGTTCTTTCAGCGTTTCCCATGAGATGAGACAGGAGTGAGCCTCCTGTGAAGAGTCCTAGAAAACTGGAGAAGCGGAATGACTATCTCCAACTAACTTTTGCCACTGTAGAAACTGTAGGTACAGGAAAATCCTCTGTGTGTGCTGCTACTGTTACTCTTTGCCTTCAAATGTAGCTTTTTTCAGTTCTGTAGTCTAAGAACTCCAAGTCCACGTGAGGGTCTTAGCCTCATTCTCAAGTTCTGGGATATTCACAAAGGTATTTTCGCCTGTGTATAGTTACCAGTTGGATTTCTATGGAAGGGAGTAGGACTGGAGGAGACTCCTATTTTGCCATCTTGCTAATGTCATTTCTGTTATGTTTTGATGTTACTAATGAGCATTCTTTCATTTCACTTGAACAATTTTTTTTTAAGACAGGTCTACTGGGGATAATTTTTTTCTTCCTGATATCATTAAATTTTTTTCTTCCTGAAATTATCTTTCAATTCTCGTTCCTCAGTGATCCTTAATGTTCATTTATGTGCTTTTTTCCTGGTATTGTCCTTTTAAAGTCTGGTAATACAAGAATGTTTGTTAATTTATTTGGAACAAAAAACAAATCAATTGATTAACTTTGCAGAAATGTATTTCCTGTGCTTTTATCAGCTTTTCCCATGCAAGAAAGAAGTAGTTGTCTTAAATTGGCAGAGAGAAATAATTGATGTTTACTTTTAGGATATGGCTAAGAAACTGGCAAACAAATTGTTATTCACTCAATGCAGAAAAGAGAAAGGCTTATTCTAGGGAAACTCAGTCTTAAAAGTCAACCCCGGTCTTTCTGACAAGCTACCAATTCCAAAAATTTTATTCTCCAATTTGAAGGAAAATTATTGCCTACTCTACTAACAATTAATTTGATGACTGTTTTATAAGTTTAATGCTTCACTAATTCAACATATTTTTATTGACTTTCTTGTATGTATATTTATTGACCAGCACTATGCTAGTACTTCTGAAAATATATTATTGAAGAAATCGTACATAAACTGAAGCTTCACAGTGCTTAAGTTGGATGAGGCTCAAAAAAGTAAATAAGTCATAGCAATAAAATGTAGTAAGTTATTCAGGAGATAAAGTACAAAATACTATAGAAGCAACAGGAAGGGCATCTGCTTCCAATATGGGGAATAAGGTTGTAGAAAGCTGAGATAAGATAATCAGTTATTGACAGGACAAAGTGGGTGGGTTGAGAGAGGAATATTAGTATTTAACAGAAAAGAAACCACATACACTTATAAGGAACTTACCATAGTTAAGTACAGATGGTAAGAATAAAATCAGAAAGCAGTGTGGGGAAAAGCTAGACTTAGTGATTAAAAGGTGAGAATATAATAACAGTGAATTCAAGGTATTAATTGATGAGTTAGTGATGGGAAGGAAAGAAACTCATTGGAATTAGATAATATCTCAAAGTAAACAAATTATCCTAGGCCTCTGTAAGCCTCTTTATTCTGATTGATGAGCTACACATTCTGGACTTAGAAGTTACATACACATTAAAAGTTAAACACTTATCGAAATGTAATGGGGAATCACATTGTGTATTCCCTAAAAAGAGAAAGAAAAAGTGTCTAGGGATATCATATTATTTAGTCAATTGAATTAGAGACGCTAAAAGTCAATTTCTGCTGTATAAGCAGACATGTTTTACTGATGGCAGCAGCGGCCCATCTGGAGTGGCTGCTACAAAGACACCGCAGCTGGGAAGGCACAGCCGTGGCTGTGCACTCTACACAGCCAGCGAAAGCCAGGAACAGTTGGAATCCCCACCCCTTCTGAGTCGGTGAGGTGAGAGCCCCGTGCTCCCGTATGCAACTGCAGCTCCCTAGCTGTGGCTGTGGACCTGGGCATCCCTGTACTCTCAGGGGCCCAGGAAGCCCCCTCCTCCTACAGACGTGGAAGTGGCTGCTCCCACTGCCTGGCCTCTCTCTGCTCCTGGTGCCCACTCTGATTTTGGAGCAAAGTTGAGGCCAAGCCTGGACGCTGTTGAGACCTGGCTGGGTGTGCATGCGCTTGGGACAGCACTGACATGCCAGTCCCCTGCCTCCTCATCCCCCTCCAGACTTTGGCCATCAACGAGCATTGGACGGTGTCTCAGCACAGGCCTGCAGGTGCCCCTCAGCATGAACAGCCTGAACACCATGGTCACTATGGATGGCAAGTTGATGGAGACAGGAGGCACAGGCTCCTGGGCAAAAAGAGAGTGGTACCCAGTGAAGCCCCACCTTCAGGCCAGGAACAGCCTGAAGCAATGGGCTGCCTGTTCCATGGTCCAGAGTGAGAACTTACGCTGCCTTTCCTGGGCCTTCCCATGGCTGCCCATGAACCAATCAGCATGCACTTTCTCCCCTCTGAAGCCCATTAAAAACTGACTTAGCCAGACTCAGGCAGATGATGGGACAACCTGCCCACAGAGAGGAGCTACCCACTGTGGGTCTGGGTCTCCTCTCTACTCAGAGCTGTACAGTCATCAGGACAACCTGCCTGCATATGGGAGCTACCCATTCCAGATCTCTTTTCTGCTGAGGGCTGCACAGACTTTGGAATAACCTATCTGCAGACAGCAGCAACCCACTCCGGATCTTCTCTTTACTGAGGGCTGCACAGATGCTCACAGATGGGACCCAAAATCATTTTGGGTCTCCTCTCCACTGAGGGCTGCACAAATGCTCAGACAGCCTTCCTGTGGAAAGGAGCCACCCACTTCGGGTCTCCTGAGAGCTGTTCTGTTGCTCAATGAAGCTCCTTTTCACCTTGCTCACCCTCCAGTTGTCCATGTACCTCATTATTCCTGGACATGGGACAAGAACTCAGGCCTGCCAGATAGCAGGAGTGAAAGAGCCGTAAGCCAAACGGGGCTGAAACTCCCCCCAACCACCACCACCAAATTGCCATGTTACAGGCAATGAGAAGGGGAGAAGAGCTGCATCCCTTTGGTTAGCCCAGACCTAGGAGTTCCCTGAACCAGGGCTGTGACATCCTCTTTGGGGCTCTGTGATTCCTGGCATCTCCAAATCTCCAAGCTTCTGGGTGCCACCACCTTCCCCGACACCTGTGGTGGAAGCCATTTGTGGTATGCCTGGTCCAGGGACAGCCTTACAGGGAGCCAGCGCCTGGGCTGGTGCCTAGAACTGCCCTCCCTACTGCAGCTGGCATACCTGGCTATGCACAGTGGCCAGACCTGGCACTTGCTTTCTTACACCCCTTGCTGCTCCATGCCTAGCATGTCCTTGGCAGGTGTGGGATCTGGACCAGTAGCATGAGCTGAGTGCAGCCTGCTAGGCTGAGTGGGTGGAACAAGACCAGCAGGTCCAACCAAAACTTGATCAAAAGTGCCACCAGCCAGAGGTTTCCAACTGATTAAATGACAGCCAAAAGATTCTTTGACCTTAGGAGAGAGCCACACAGATTAGGTAGCAGACCTTTTTGCCAAAGTGCTTTTTTTCTAGATGAAGAAATTTTGGGAAAAACTCAGAGAAAGATGGATGGAAGTCAATCAAAAATTTTGCTTGTCAAGCCCGAAAATGCTACCATGTACTGTGAGAGAATAAAATATTTTATTATTCACTGAAGAAGGATTTCTGAAGAGGGCAAGAAAATCTCTCAACAGGTCTATAAACGGCTTGAGATAAAAAAGAAAGGATAATTGAAGCTGGCTTTTATTTTGGGGTGAGTCTAGAATCTGGGCTTTCCTCCCACATTCCCCTATAAATTTCATGGTTTAAGCTTTCTGCTTGTGCCAAAGGAAAGAGTGTCCAGGCTCTCTTATGCCCAGAAGTAAACAGCTGTGGGGCAGGAGATGGGAGAGTGGTGAGGCTTAAAAAGTGTCCACAGTCAAAATCAAAATAAATCCAAAGTCTGTGTTCTGAAGAGCAATCTTTCTAAAGCTTCAAATGTGAAGGAATGCTAACTATAGTTTCATGCTGATGTGTGATACTAAAATACATTTAAAAATTACAGAAATTTTGACCTTGAATACTTCAACCATTTTCTGGTGGAAAAGAAGCCTTTCTTATTAGGAGCCACATTACATGTAATCAACCTAATCGAAATGCATACAACTATTAACCTTTTAGATAAATTCATTGTAGCTGAAAGAAAAAGCTGTCTGCTCAGACTAGCAACCTGAGCTCTCCTCAGAATATAACATTTGCTAAAGTTGTTTGAAACCAGAAAGATAACCATTTCAAAACAAAAGATTGGCTCTGGATTGTAGGTTTCTTATTTGCAGGACTAGGTCAAATTTAGGACCATGATTAGAAAGGGAAGTGCTTAGCAATGAAATAAACCATTACAACAGTTGAAATACAATGGTAAAAAAGCCAAAGGTGCAGTCATGGTATAGAAGTTAATGGAAAATTTACTTGACCAAGCTTTGAAAAATCAAGGCAGTTTTGTTTCGAAAACTCCAAAAGGACCAATGAAAATATTTTTGGAGAAGCCATCATGACTTGATGTAATTATCATAACAGCTGATTCTTGATAATGTCATCTTTCATGAACTCACAACTAAAAACTTATAATATTTGATGGTATTCCTCCTTATGGAGATAGGCAAATAATCTTAGAGAAACGAAAAAAATCTGTTGCCAATATGATCACTAGAGCTTTTATATAGGGATACAAAGGCTTTTACATCATCTGAGAGAAGGGACCTGCAAGTATTGATATTCTTCAATAGGCCATATTGCTTTAAATTTTCCTGAAATTGCCGTTCTTATCCAGACAGAAAACATCAAAGAGACAGAGTTAACACCATTCTGGAAAATTTTGTTGAGTGTAAACATTTATCTCCCATCTGATTTTTAAAAATATAGCTTTTGTTTCAGAATCTTCAAGTTAAATGAGTTTATAATAACTGAATTATTCCATAAAGAGAGAGGAAGGAGTGTTAATTCAGACCAACTACTTATGGGTATGCGTGTTTGGAGATGGTTAATGATTCAAAAACACTTTCATTTCTAAAGAGACAGAGATATTTGGAATTTAGAGCATCAGCCATACTTAAAAGAGGAGGTAAGACTCAAGATATCTTGTTTTGGTTAAGAGCATTAAACAAACAAAAAATGTCTGCTTAGCACAGACATTATTTGGAAAGCAGAAAAAAATCAACATACTTTATTATGGATTTAATGATAAAAAAACACTTTGAAAATCAACCATAGCTTTTACAATTATAAGTCAAAATCATACCATTTTCAAAAACTATAATAGACAAATTAAGTTTCTGAATTTCAATTGGCTAATAAGGACTTGATATTTATGTTTACTTTCTTAAGCTAGCAGTTTTTATTAAATTTCATGGTACTATTTTACATGAAAAGCATTACTTTTAGTGGATTTGTTATGTTAGGCCTGTGGAACCATGAGTCAAAATGTTATGCCTAAGGTCCTAAGCCTGTGTTCCATGTTTAATGCTACCACTTGCTAGCTGTATTGGTTCTTTCTCACACTGCTATAAAGAGCTACCTGAGACTGGGTAATTTATGAAAAAAGAGGTTTAATTGACTCATGGTTCCACAGGCTTTACAAGAATCATGACTTGGAGGCCTCAGGAAACTTACAATCATGGTAGAAGGTGAAGGGGAAGCCAGCATGTCTTACCATGGAGGAGCAGGAGAGACAGAGAGAGCAAAGGGGGAAGTGCTACACATTGTCAAACAACCAGATCTGGTGAGAACTTACTCGCTATTATGAGAACAGCAAGGGAGAAGTCTGCGCACATGATTCAATCACCTCCTACCAGGCTCCTCCCCCAACATGGGAGGATTACAATTGGAGATGAGATTCAGGTGGGGACACAGAGCCCCCATATCACTGGCTATATGAAATTGCCAGGTTAATCTCTATGCATCAGTTTCTTCATCAGTAAAATGGGTATGATATATACTTACCTCATATTGCTACCATAGCAGCTAAATGTTCCCTGAACGTGAAATATAAGCAAAGTGCCTATTACCCATTAACATTAAATATTAGCTATTTAAAAAATGTTATTTTTTCTTTGTTAACATTGGAAAGGCTCTTTTAAAAAAATTTATTCTTAACTTCTGTGCATATATAGTAGGTGTATATATTTATGAAGTATATGAGCTATTTTGTTATAGGCATAAAATGGGTAATAATTCCATCAGGATAAATGGGGTATCCATCCCCTCAAGCACTTATCCTTTGTGTTACAAAAAATTCAATTATATTCTTTTAGCTATTTTTAAATGTACAATTCAATTATTATTGAATATAGTCATGTTGTTGTCCTTTAAAATGCTAAATCTTATTCATTCTTTCTTAATATTTTTGATACCAATTAGCCATCTCCCCCACAACCCGCACTGCCCTTCTCAATTTCTGGTGACTGTCATTCTAACTTCTATCTCTCTGAGTTCAATTGTTTTGATTTTTAAATCCCACAAATAAGTGAGAACATGTGAAGTTTGTTTTTCTGTGCCTAGCTTATTTCAGTTAACATAATGACCTCCAGTTCTATCCATGTTGTTGCAAATGACAGAACTCATTCTTTTTTATAGCTGAATAATATTTCATTGTGTATATGGAGCACATTTTCTTTATCCATTCATCTTTTGATGGATACTTGAGTTGCTTCTAAATCTTGGCTATTGTGCATAATGTTGCAGTAAACATGGGGGTACAAATATCTCTTCAAAACACTGATTTGTTTTGGGTAAGTACCCAGCAGTGGGATTGCTGGATCATAGGGTAGCTCTATTTTTAGTTTTTTGAGGAACCTCTAAACTTTTCACCATAATGGTTGTACTGCCTTACATTCCCATCAACAGTGTAAAATGGTTCCCTTTTCTCCATATCCTTGCCAGCATTTATTATTGCCTTTTTTTAATAAAAGTCATCAAAATACTGACTTTTAAAAATCGTAACATTTATCTTCATTGTTTCCCATGCTTCAAATAAATGTACTGAGCTTTGTGTAGTATTTTTGTCTGTTTATTTATATTTTTAAGCTCATGAATACTTCCCAAGAAAGTTGATTGTGTCATATAGAATTCAAAAGAAAGATACGAACTCCCTATTTGATAAAAATATAATGATAAAAGAAAAGCAATATAATCTGGCAAAATGGCAGATTTTTTTCTGCCTAAAAACTTTGACACATGGAAAGTATTTAAAATAGGTGATTATCATTATCATCTGATCATAATTATTCATAATTTTACTTATTATTATATAACTAATGTTTAGCTACTTGCCATGTTGCAGTCTTATACGGGCATACTAAAGTCTATAATTATGTTTGATTCTTTCATTTTCTCCTTTACTTTGACAATTATTATGTACATGCATTGATACTAAATTCCTTATTCAGAAAGTGACTTAACTACCAAATTTTCATGCTAAAACTTAATATTAACAAAAAAATTCCCTGTATGTTCAAATAATATTTAACTTAATTTGCTGCTCCTTGTATATGCTAATGGTGCCATTCCTGCAGTTTTTAAGGCAGGAATCGCATAGTATATATTTCATCATCCTTTAATTTCCAATTTTAGAATTTTAACACTTTCGTATGTACTTTCATAATTCATATGTTAATAATTGTTAATTATTCATTTCTTTCATGTACCTTGAACACACTATATTATTCTTCATTATTTTTCTTTCTCGATTTTTAATTTGTTAATATAATCTGGAAGTTGAAAACCATATTATGTTTCCCATAAATATATTTTGTATTGTGTTTTATGGTATTTTTTAAATTTCCATGTTGAAATGTATTATTTATAATTAGATTAAAACAGCTATTTTTATAGGCACGGCTTGTCTTGTCCATACGTTAGTGTGTTTTTAGTACAAACTCACCATTTGTGTGATTGTTCCTAACACATAAAAAAAACTGTCATATAGAATTGTTGAAAGAAAACTTATTATTTGAAATGTTCTATTGCTAGTACTGTTGTCTTAGGTCATTTATTGATGGAAAAGTAAAGTTGAAAGATAACATGATCTTTGTTCAGTTATAGATTATTTGATATTTCTCTGACTGTGTTGGGCGAAGTGGCTGAGCACCAGGGATGCATTCTTTTTCTTTGTGTTTGACCTCAGTTTTATTCTATGAAAAAAGTGCAGCTGTGTCTGGTACATTCCCTGGTACTATAACTTTCCATTCATTGAAAAGCTTCTAGAAAAGTCCATTAACCTGGTTTTCTGTTGGTTTTCCCACCTTTCTCCTTAGGTCTTCCAACACACTGTTGGGTGACTGTAATGAATCTGTAGTACCAAAGGCAGTTTCAAATGACCTATTTCCTGATTGACTTTTTGTCTACCATGGACTTTTTGCAGCAGGAGAATATTTAGATTTCTGGCAAACACCTTTTTATCCTTTGTCACAACCCCTCATGTCACTAAAATTTCAGCACAGCTATAGTATAAAGTTTTGAACATTATGCCCCACATTCCAGCTCAGGCACCCTCTACAGAGTCTCTAAATTCTGTCTCAGGTTTTTCTCTAAAGCTTAAGGGAAGACATTGAGACATCAAAACACAACATTCACACTCATGGGGGAAAATTATCAACAAATAGTAAAGGAGGTTGAAAGATAAATGCCCAGCTTCTAATACCTTGTAGAGATGATTTTTATGGTCATTCTGGAAGGTTTTCTTACATTTTGGGTTTTCTTCCTTCTATGTCTCACTAATGTCATTTTTTCTTTCCATTCTATGGGATTTACTCCCAAATACATTGCTAGTTCTCAGGTTTAAGTGTCAGGCACTGCTTTTGAAAGAACAGAAATTAAAACATGTCCTTCCAGTTTTTTATTTTAATCTCTGCAATGTCATGCTATGTTCTTGCAGAAGAGAGTTTTGAGTTAGGCTTTATTGTCTTCCTTCATTATGGTACTGAATGTACTCTACCTAGCAGAAATTCACTGATGTTTCTGTCATGCAATGGAAATGAAGGCACATTTTAAAAAATCATTCTTACTTTCAATGTGGTCATATTCAATATAAAAATATAAATGGTGGAAAATTCTGCTTCCACCCAAGATGGAGTAACAGATACATATTTACCCACCTTCCTTAAATAACCAAAAAGCTGAAAAAAGATAAAGAGCAATGTTTTCAGATATTTGATAGCAGGCAGTGTCGAGTAATGATCCTTGAGGCAAAGAAGTATGAAAGTCCTATGATTGTCCCTAGCTTAATGCCTGGAGAGAGGGTTGACTGGGCAGAACCAGTAGAATTTGAGCTGGGGAGATGGAGTTGGAGGTTAAAGGAGGCCAAAATAACTGCAATTCATAAGGCAGAGTAAAAAAAGGAGAGACTTGCACAGAGAGAGGGACCACCACAGATCTTCAAAGTGTCCTTTCCAGCAGAGTGATTATCAGCACATGGATGTGAAGAAACTAACTGAGATGGGGCAATAATGTAAGGAGGAGAAATAAATGAAATAATATTAGAAAGAAAAAAATAAGACTGACACTATTTAAAAGTGACATGATTGTCTACACAGAGAATCTCTATGAACCTACAAACAATATATGAGTACAAGGAAACACAACTAATAAGTGAATTTAGGAAAGTTGGAGGATACAAGGTCAATATACAAAAATCAATTGTATTTTTAAATACTAGCAATGAACAATCAGAAATTAAAACTTTAAAAATAAAACTATTTGCAATAGCACCAGGAAACACGAAATGCTGGGTATACATCAAAGAAATGTATGCATGAACTGTATGTTGACAACTACAAAACACTGATGAAATAAAACAAAGCAGACCTAAAGAAATAGAAAGATGGCTGGGTGCGGTGGCTCACACCTGTAATCCCAGCATTTTGGGAGGCCCAGGAGGGCGGATCAACTGAGGTCAGGAGTTCGAGGCCAGCCTGGCCAACATGCAGAAATCCCATCTCTACTAAAAGTACAAAAATTAGCTGGGCATGGTGGTGGGCACCTGTAATCCCAGCTACTCAGGAGGCTGAGGCAGGAGAATCACTTGAACCTGGGAGGCGGAGGTTGCAGTGAGCGGAGATCATGCCACTGCCTTTCAGCCTCCGCGACAAGAGTGAGACTCTGTCTAAAAAAAGAAATAGAAAGATATGTCATACTATGGATTGGAAGACTCACTCACTGTACAAATATGTAAATTTTTCAAAAAATGTTATATGTTGTCAGTGAAACGCAAAAGAAATAACAGCATAATTTTAGTATAAATTAAGAATTTGATTCTATGATTTACATGAAAAGCAACTAAATTAAATTAGTCAAAACAATTTTGAAAGAGAAAAACAAGGTTGAAAAGCTCACACTATAAATTCATAGTTAAGACAGCATGGTATGAGTAAAAAGATAGGCATATTAATAAATGGAACGGACTAGAGAGTCCAAAATAGAACCGGACATATAAGGGCAATTAATAAACTATGAAAGTGAAAAGAAAACTCAATGGAAAGAGATTTTTTTTTTCAACTAATTGTTTGGGCGCAACTAGAATTCCACATTAAAAAGTGCCCTAGACATTATCCATTGTGTCACTATTATTCAATTTAACATGGTATACTTTCACAACTTTCTAAGCTTTGTTATAAGAATAGATGTAGATTTCTCATTTTAATTATTTTATCAATAATTTTTAATATCAAAAGATGTATTATAATGTAAGGATCAGCATAGACAGTTATACATTACCAGTGGAGACAGACCAAGCTTACAAAGTCAATTTGGTGAAATTAATGGCACTGCACTGATATCCAAAATGTCCTTATGCCTTTTCTCATTACACCCCTACTTAAACTGTTCCTTTCTGGAATTCAGCCAGTGCAATTTGTTCCAACTGTTCAAATTGTGGAGAAGTAAATCTTATAAATTATTACAAACAAACTTCTTCCTTTTACTTACTACACCTCATCTCTCCTACAGGAAATAGTACCAACAGAGGTCATTGTCATTAGAAATAATTATGTTGCACTCCACTTGCTGTTATCAGATTCTTCTAATTTATTCCCAAGAGAGAACAAGCATTTTTTTTCATTATTATCTTTACAGGAAATATTGCAATTTCATATATTATTCAATCATTTTATTCTGTATGTGGCTATTTAAGCACATATATTTCAAATAGTAGAGTTTCAATCTAACTATTAAGTTAGAGTTTCATTATAGAGTTCCAGCCTATCTTTATTATTTGAAAATATATGTGTTTAAATGGCCACATATAGAATAATAAACTCATTTAAGTGTTTGAGCCATATTATCTTAGGTGAGACATGGTGAGGCCAGAAGCAGTTGAAGAGAGAGAGAGTTTTGCAGTTTTATCAAGCTCAGTTCCCTGGAAAAACACAGCACACCAGGCAGGACAGGGTAACTCAGGATGCACCACGGTCCACCAGAAGGCAGAAGGAGAAAGAGGAACTGTGGGCAAATGCCTTCATTATGTGTCTCTCAAGAAGGAATGGGCCAGGAAAAGAAGGAGTTTAGGATTGGCAAGCTATGTGTGAAAGAGTCTACCCTGCAAAATTCATGTTCACTGTGACTGTTGAGCATATGATTTGGGACTATCTAAGTCTCTGGATGCGTTTAGGTGAGCCAGAGTTTACTTGGGAACATGCAGTGAATATTTTGTAGATGTTAAAACATTGATTTACAGAAATGAAAAGTATGTTTATTACATGAAGCCCAGGAGATAATAGGAAAAAAACTAAAATAATATTTGGATGATTATTATTTATATACTCTACTTTAGCAAGTTCAATAGCAAGTTTCATTTCTACATTTTCAGCTGCTTGCCTTTTGATTTGCTTAATAATCTTCATATTATAATGTTGATGCTATAGGATTGACAACATTCATGAATAAAACTCTATGTATTTTTGTGTTCATGTTTTAAAATTAACATCTGCATGCAAAGAAAAGTCTCTGAGTAGATAATATTAAGATATACAATGTTTAAGATGATCATGTCTGGGGGAAAAAACATCATAATAGAGCTCATCACAATACATGCATGCTGACTGATGTCTTAAAAATCAATAATTTAATTATATCAGAATCTTTTAAAAGTGAACAAAGATGCCACACCAATCTGGCTTATAGCTTTTTAAATTAAATATTAAACACTCGAACTTAATCTTCATAAATGAAATCTTAAATCTTATTCAGCATAATAATAAGAGTGAAAGGTAATAGCATATAATATGAACAATATCTATATTGACTAATATATATAAATAAATATATGATTACAACCTTTATCATGCAATGTAAAATATCAAAAAATTTTATGCACAGTTTTTAAGAGTGAGTTTGAGAAGAAACAGAGCTATAATAATTGTTAATTATTTAGACCTATCCAGGAACTTAATTAACTCTACATTTTATGTTCTATGGTTTTGTTTTTTAGTATATAATAGGCAGTTAGTCCAAATTTTTAGAAAAGCTGAATAAAATATGATTAAAAAAGAAGAAAGCCAAAGAAAGACAAAGTTAACGTCTGTATAGCCCTTTCTCCTCCCTCCCTATTTCTATGCAAATAAACTCCAGCTACCTTAACAGGTCACCTTTAAGCCTGGCAGAAACAGAGGAGGCCTCCTGCATCCTCCCTTCCTTACTTTCCACAATATCCACATTACTAGCTCATCACTCCCCATCCTTTTTGACACACAGTGTTTCTATCACAGGCACTTTTATCTAAACCGCACATTATAAGACTATTTGCCCAAGAAATTGTGTCCACAGGCTTGATGTCACTTCATTTCTTTAACTCAAAGCACCTTTAAAAATGAAGTATATTACCCTGGAAGTGGTAACCTCTTTAAGTCCAATTCCAGTCATAAGATTCATAAGGAACAAGATCTGTGATGGCACATATGATAGACAATATTCAAGAGGGTTAAAGATGGGGTAAAAGAAGAATTGGAGATAAGGGATAGAAAAAATTGGAAGAAAGTACAATGTCACCTTGGGGGTAATTTACAAGGTAAGAACAAGAAACTTGGGTAAATAGAATTGAGAAAAGAAACTTCACATTCCTTAGAATTTCTCATATATCTGGTCTCTGTGACTGGATCAAAAGTTTCCCTAAGTTTATACTGACAGTGCACAATGGCAAGTCCATTTCCGATAACAGGAAATAACCTCTCAAATTTATACAATCATGGGATCCAGAAACAGTGCTGTCCTAGCATTCAGAGTCAGAATCATTAAGGCAAATAAAATAAAATGCCAAACTGAACTGACACCAAACAGTATCCTAGCCACTCTGCATATAAGGATTATGCAGTATTTGGTGAGAGAGAAACCCACACTGGACTCCAGAACTGTATTATAATTTTACCTGAATTCTTCTTGCAGTATACTGTGTTAAAGGCTAATGTTAATTATACTGAACTTGACTTTCATAGAGAACACAAAAATGGAGAGGGTGGTTGGACAAGCAGCTGAGATCTAAATAAATAACACAGTGAGGGAACTGAAGGCAACATTCTGGTGATAAATGAAGTGACTATTGACATTTGAATAGGATAAAAGGTATTACATAAGATAAATCAAAAAGGAGACTTCCAATTCAAAACTGGAGAAGAGTTTGGGAGCAACACCTTGGCTGTGGAGTGGTGGTGTGATCCGCAGGCTAACAGCAGGGCCAGCAGGATATGACTCATGTAACAGTAGAAGCATTTGGGGTTTTTCCTACAGCAACAGGCACTCACAGACAAGAGAATTTTCCATATGTCCAGGCATCATATATATTTTTAAAGTACATGGAAAGAATGCCTAAAAGTTTGTATTATCGTGAATGGGAATACAATTTGCAATTGTATACCTTTCATTGTGTTATAAATTATTTTGTTCTTTTACTGTACTTGTTTACTATAATGTGTTATAAATTATTTTGTTCCTTTACTATACTTGTTTACTGTAACATTGTGTTATAAATTATTTTGTTCTTTTACTATACTTTTGTACTTTTACTATACTCTGTTCTACTAAAACTAGAAAAATTATATTTTGGAGAAAGAACAAAATTAAGTTCATTATAATAAATGTGTACCAGTGCAAAATTTGCAAGAACATAAAATTGCGAATAAGGTGTTCTTTTTCAGCTGGGCAACTGGAAATACAGCTAATACATCTTCCTCTCACAGGACTGCTGAGCTCAATGCATTTGAACTTCCTTCTTTTCACCTCAGATTAATCCCAGAGTTCTCAAGCAGATGCTCACATGTTCTTCTAAGCCAGGCTGTTACCTACACACGTTCTCATTTCTGCATATTTGCAGGCAACAAAACTCCCTAGAGAAGGTTCACTTCTGCTGGAATCCATCATAAGATTCCCCATTCCCAGACATAAGTGTTCAAAATACTAGGACAACAGAGATTGTGTGGAGAGGCAGAAGCTGTCTTCCCACGGTTATGATACTCATTGTCACCAAGATCCTCATAAGAAGATTCATTCTGGCCCAGAGTCATTGGAAGTGCCTCATGAACAACAATTCAATCAGATTTTGCCTCCAAATCGATGAGAACTCCACAAGGAATGAAAAACATTTCAGAGAATAAATGTAAACGCATGCTATTCTACTCCTTTCCTTCCTCTGAAGGGTAGCACACCTGAACTAAAATATTTCTGACAATATAAGACAATCTTTAAGTAATTTATGAATTTATTAAGTATTTCTATAATACTAATAACTATGGTAGAACAGCATGCAAATAAAAAGAAAGCCAAAGTCTAAACATAAAAAAAAATCAAATTCCAACTGTGGTTAAACCAATATAATTTTGAATAGTCTGAATTGGAATTCCTAGCCTGTATGCCTTAAGCTACAAGTCACTCTTATTTCGTGTACTTTAAAACCATTTCCCTCCCTATGGCTCTCTGTAGCTTTTGCTAAGTAAAACTTTATCTCATTTGGGATCTTATCCTCTCTCTTCTTTGCAGAAGCTTCTGCCCACACACATTTTTGGCATTTCCGACCTTAGAAATGGGCCAGGAATTTCTCAAGTAGTTAATGTGAGATCAGGAAAGAACAAGATGTGCTTCAAACACAGCCCAAATAACACAAGTACACAGTCAATACACACACACATGCGCGCGCACACACAAACACATACACACATGCATCCCACTCCACAAAATATTGGTTTTATCATTTTAAGTGCCTTATATGGCATATATACTGCAGTCTTTCACTAATCTGTTCAAAGGACAGGTGAGTAGGGATATATGTTTGTTTTCTATGAATCTATATAGAAGAAAAAAATAAACAGATTAAATGAGAAAAGAAAACTCTAAGACAGACCTATACTCTTAGCAGCTGGGCAAGTGTTGAGGTTAGTTTTGTTCCCACAAGAGATACGTTTGAGGAGTGCAAGTTTTTAATCCAGGAGAATTGCATTTACAAAGTGACCAGTGAAGCATACATTAATCTCTCTCTCAAAGTTGAGGATAAACACTCTGAGAGGTTAAATACTTGCTCAAATTTAAACCAATGAAAACCACTACCACATGCAAGTCTCTGAACTTAAACTTAGTCTTTTAAGAACCAATCTTCATCTTGTGCACTAAAATGCAGCACCTTTACTGCTTAAGTTGTTTAAAGTCTTTTTAGGTCAATTTTTCCCTAGATAAAATGTAAAGAAATGAAATCTTCTCTGATCCTTGAATGTGTAGCTGGTTATGCTACCAATGGGTTTGCTTATAGGGATTAAATTTGTAGTTTTTTAATCTCTTAGAGCAGTTCAGTACCAGCTAATTCACAGCATCGTCCAAAATAGGAATTTAGCCTGGACTTAACCAAGGATAGCTTTCTTGAGAAGGATTAATCTCATTAGAATCTCTCCATGTAGGCTCTGTTGGTAAGGCTTTTAAATAAATAACTAGGCAGTAAAGAAGATGGAAATAGCATGATTTATTGTATTTGAAAGTTTCCAAAAGAGAAGAAACTTACCCTCTATAGAATAATTGGTCACCAGAGACTCCAGTGGTCAACTAAACTAGTCAATTAACCTAGGAGGTGAGCAGACTTGTAAACTAAAATAACCAATTTCTAAGAACTTTAACCCTTTGGGCATGGATAAATGAAACATGAAGGCCTGGTTATAAGACAGTAATACTAGAAATTGATTTTGTTTTCTCTACAGAAAGCACTACAGCAATGATTCTTTCTAGCAACAGTATTTGTTTCATTCTCTAGGCCCTGACCTTAGGGACATCAATTGCTTAACCACTGTGTTTTTGTTTGTTCTTTGTTTTGATTTTATAAATCTCAGGTGCAGAGCCTAGAGTTAATCAAATTCCAAAGTCGTGCACATTATCATTGGAATCCATGTCAGTCTCCTATTGTTTTATTTTAGTTACTACTGTGTCTTCTTATTTTTACTCCCATTTGTGCGTATGTATATTAATTTAAGAAAACATTTTTCTGTTATTGATTTTATTCTTGTTTTTGCTTAATTTTACCTGGAACTGTGTATTTTAAGATTCACTCCTATTGTTTTGTGTGTATCTTAAACATTGCTTTTAAGTGCTTTGTATTTTTTTTTATACATAGCCACCATTTTTCACCTGTGCACAAACTGCCAAGGAATCAAACATTCCCTAAACATTGATTACTGCAGCTGTTTGGTGGGTCTACCATTCTTCCATAGATTTGTCCAGTAAAGAGAGGACACAATAAGCCCAAATGGATTGATACTGCTTTTATATATATACACACACACAGCTTAAGCAAGATCAGCATGGTGCCAGTTACTGTGACCCACAGTTTTCACTGAAGTGCAGAAGCCAGATGACAGATAACATAAGCAGTGGGCCACTTTGTCATGGAGGATCAAATTCTAGGCTATAATATAAATATAAATCAGGAGAAAGACAAAGATATTAACTATTAGCACAATGATTTAATATTTTATCTGCGGTTTTGATAAATGTGAGGAAATAAAATAATAATAATAATAATGGCTATAAATCTTGAAAGAAAAATTTATCGTTACTTGTATGTATTATCACCTAATTAGAAAAAACAGCAGATTCTATAGATTAATTAGTAAAATTCAGAGAAGAGAATCTTGCTGGAGCTTCTCAATGCTAGATAGTTGGATACCTGAGGATCCCAATTGTGAGGGATCCAGACGTGTATCCTCTCCACTGGCTAATCTTTTTAAATTAGGGCGCTTTTCTTAAAATTAAAGTTAGTTTATTTATGGAATTGGATATCCATTGAGGGAAAGAAGTAAATATAAATGAAGAAATCAAAAGTTGTGCCCTAAGGCATTCAAACATTTACAAGCAGTGAATATTATACAAAACCAAAAACAAAATTTTCTAAAATCAAGTACCCCAAAATTTAAAAGAAAATCACATGAATGTGTTCCTAGAAACAAGAAAAAGATAAAGTATTTCTTTCTGTGAGTTTGCTGTTGTTGCTGTTACTGTTGTTTTGTGTGTGTGTGGTTTTTTGTTTTTTTGTTTTTGTGTCTGTTTTGTTTGTTTGTTTGTTTTTTGAGACAGGCTCTCCATCTGTCACCTAGGCTAGAGTGCAGAGGCATAATCACAGCTCGTTGCAGCCTTGACCTCTTGAGCACAAGCGATCCTCTCACCTTAGCCTCCAGAGTAGCTGGGATTAGAGGCAGCTGCCACCATGCTCAGCTAATTTTTGTATTTTTTGTACAGATGGGGTTTTGCCATGTTGCCCAAACTGGTCTCTAACTCCTGAACTCAAGCAATCTGCTTGCCTTGGCCTCCCAAGGTGCTAGGATTACAGACATGAGCCTCCTCACCCAACTCCAGAGTATTTTATGGATAAGAGAGTGATAAAGTATGTCATATGTTACTTCTGAGTCCGAGAAAATGAAGACTGAGGATTGACTTTGGATTTGTTACCCTTGATAACACTGGTGACTTTAACGATAGCATTTTTTTTTTTTTTTAGATGGAGTCTCGCTCTGTCACCCAGGCTAGAGTGCAGTGGTGCAATCTAGGCTCACTGCAATCTCCGCTTCCTGGGTTCAAGCGATTCTCCTGCCCCAGCCTCCTGAGTAGCTGGGACTAGGCATGCGCCACCACGCCCATCAAATTTTTGTATTTTTAGTAGAGACGGGATTTCACCGTGCTGGCCAGGATGGTCTCCATCTCTTGACCTCGTGATCCACCCGCCTCGGCCTCCCAAAGTGCTGGGATTACAGACGTGAGCCACCACGCCCAGCCAACAATAGTCATTTTTGTTGATGGTGAAATAAAAAAAAAATTGGATTGAAGAAATAATGGGGAAAAGGAGAATTACCCACATACGTATACTCGACTGCTTTGATAAGTCTGGTTTGCTCATTTGTTTGTTTCTATAATGAGATAAAGGCCAGCTTATTTGTTGACTGATGAGCACAACATAGTAAATAGGAAAAGGGAATTTTGATATGCAAGCGATATTAAAGAGGAAGAGTGGAGTTACATCCTTGTTGTAGATTAGTTTCCCTGAGAAGCAGACACTGAACTATGTATTTCCATACAGGAAGCGTACTGGGGAACGCTTTCAGGATGAAGCCTGTGGGCAGGGCAGGCGTCATGAGTGTGTGACCTATGCTATAGGGCACAGGTCTCTGTGTTTAGAAGGGTTTCAGTTTTGGTTTAATGCTCTGTTTTCAGAATGTTGATTTTTTAAATTATTTTTGACCAACGGGTCCCCCAGTTTCAATTTTCACTGAAACCTAAAATTTACGTAGTCAGTCCTATCCATGGGGGAGCCATAGATCCAAAGCCAGTCAAACAAGGAACTCTCTAAATTTCTGGTTACTCTTCACAATTGTCTAGCATTGGAGTGAGAGATCCAGACTTGTATTCCCTCCGTTAGCCAATCTTTGTAAGCTGGCTGCCTAGAAAAGGGTGCATAGCCTTGGGCAAGACACCTCTCTTTAGAAGAGGGAAAATCCTGGACAGAGACACAGATAAGGGATGTTAGCCATAAGACTACCAGCCACTGGGGAAGAGTGCTTCAGTCTTGGAGGAGGATGAAGGTAGCATCAGTGGATTACAATCCTTGAGTAGAAGACAGTGCACAAATATGGTGCACAAGGTCATGGCCTTGACTATAAGAGTTCCACATTGTAACGGGGAGAAGTCAATGATATATGCCCGCAGATAGGTGGAGCTGGAGGATGCAGTTTGTGGAAGATACTTTTTTTTTCTGATTACTTCTATGTATTCAGTAAAATAACAAACAAGATCATCAACTGGCAGTAGGATGGTGAGTTGATTTAGAATTCAGCCATGAACAGCACCAAAAACATAGAAGAGGGATAGTAGATCAATCTTGAAAGTATAATATTATTCTAGAATTTATACAAACTGTGGGTAACAAATACTGGATGGATGTTTTTTGAGAAGAGGATGTAAAGAGAACAATTTTTACAACTCTACAAAATATTAAATGAGCTTAAGGAAAGCATAGGTTTTCACACTGAAAAGTCTGCTGAATTAATAAAAATGATAAATAACGAAAAAGCTCTCTAACACACACTTGTGCAATTTCCATGCCTCAAAAAGAAGATAAAATCATAAAAGCATAGAGGGAGAAATAATTGAAAGATCACCAACAAAGAGACTGAAAATAGAGAAGGTATAACTTTCTAATTAGCGCCATAAAAAAGGATGTTGGATCAGTGCTTTAAATTGCTGGGGGAATGTTTTAAAATTGCATATTCAGAGATATTTTTCATCAGTGAAAGCAAAACAAATGCATTATCAAAATGTTCAATTGCTAAGGTGTTTTTCCTCCCATAAAACTGCCATGGAAACTACTTAAGAAAAACCTGCAGTGAAACAATGGAAAGGGCCGGGCGCGGTGGCTCATGCCTGTAATCCCAGCACTTTGGGAGGCCGAGGTGGGCGGATCACGAGGTCAGGAGATCGAGACCATCCTGGCTAAAACTGTGAAACCCCGTCTCTACTAAAAATACAAAAAATTAGGTGGGCGTGGTGGCGGGCACCTGTAGTCCCAGCTACTCAGGAGGCTGAGGCAGGAGAATGGCGTGAACCTGGGAGGCGGAGCTTGCAGTGAGCCGAGATCGCGCCACTGCACTCCAGCCTGGGCGAAAGAGCGAGACTCTGTCTCAAAAAAAAAAAAAAAAAAAAAAAAAAAAAGAAACAAAGAAACAACAGAGAGGCTGGGCGTAGTTGCCCACGCCTGTAATCCTAGCATTTTGGGAGGCTGAGTCAGGAGGATTGCTTGGGCTCAGGAGTTCGAGACCAGCTGGGCAACATTGTGAGACTTCATCTATATCTATTTTTTTAAATAATAAATGCATAAGTAAGTCAAGGGCGAACTCTAAGAATGTGGAAGCCATAAGGCTCAGGAAACAGAGATTCTAAACCCAGAGTACATCCCAGAATGACGGCAGAAAAAGAAGCCTGAGAACAACAATTTGGGAGCAAGAGTTCAAAGAATTCTAGGAGAAATATACTTTGGCAAAAAAATAATTAATTAATTGCCATAATATATGCTATTATTGGAAACCTGAGGAGTAATAAAGAATGTGAACATTCACTGTTCTTTTATGATAAAAATTGTTTAATGAGGCGAAAAATTCTATAAAAATTAAGTGTTTCAAATATGAAGCAAATTATTATAGGACACATTTCAGCAGCTGGAGATCAAATGAATTCGTGTGACTTTAACGGTAAGGACAATTTCCACTGACATGATCAGATACCTTTTATTTCCAATCCAAGTACAGCAGAGAAGGAAATGTAATCTTAAAATATTATTTGATTTCTCAGCAATAATTAAATAATTAAAAATTACAGTCTTAACTCTTAAATATTTTTAATTTTTAGAATCTAATGGTGACAATACAAATGTAACTAGAATTATTAATGAGAATATCAACCTGATATATCTTGATCATATAAAAGTAATGGTGTAGCTGACAAAGTGAGGAGGCACCAAAAAGTACAAGTGGAAGAGGGGATTGGAATGTGAATACTTACGTAGTGGTGAGTTACAAGACAGAAAAAGACAAGAAAAAAATGTAAAAACCCATGTAACAAACAACTATATGAATGGAAAATTGAATATGGAAACATTTTAAGGAAGATAATTCATCTACATTTGGAAAAATCAATGAATAAATGAAATCAATGAAAAATAAAAATCAAATAAATGATTATTTGGAGTTATCTCAGTGATAGGAGGTAAAAATCTACTATGAATAATGATAATTTCGAGGAAGGTGAGGAGGACAGGTCTTCTGTAATCTATAAATTATTATGGATAGTCATAACATTTACTTTTATTATATTGATAAAATAGCTTTAAGTTAATTAAGAAACAGTAAAGTAAGCAAATATATAATAAAAAACATGAGAAAATTATAAATTCCGATGTAGAAGGATGCTTGGATGTGTTGTTGAGTTAAAAAAAAGGAAGTTATAGAAAATTATGTATAATATAAACTCATTTTTTTAAACTACCAATATATATAGTGTAACTGTGCATATATAAAATTCTGGCCAAACATACTTGATAAAGTCAATGGTGATTACTAATGGAAAGTGAAAATAGGAAAGTAGTGTGGCCTACAGGGAAGAAATTTAACCACATGAGCCAGAAACTTTAAGAAAATGTTTTGCAACAAAATTTATACCTTTTGAATTTAAAATTATCAAAATGTAAATAAGATAATTTTTAAAAAACTATCCAAAGAATTTGAAATACCACTATTGTCAGAAACTTTACCTGTAAAATGCAGGTAGGTTTCTGGTCAAATTTCCTTCTGGCCTAATATGTCTCTAAGGAAAATAAATCAGCAAAACGCGAAAGTGACTGAGAAAAATGGCATATCTCATTAAATTTTTGAAAAGATTCCCCCCCGCAAAATCATTAGAATTTTAATCAGTGTTTTAAATAATTAAATTACTTTGGAGATAAATATTCTGCATAGCTAGTATGTTAAATAAATGACACACATCACGTAGGAATTTTCTACTGTTCATTTAGATTGTTCTTTGCAGTTAGTTTTTCCCTGCCCATTAGATGAAATTGAGGACATGTCCAGTTGATTTTATGGTCACTATTAGTGAGTTTACTAGTCTGCTCAGGCTGCCATGACAACATACCATAGACTGGGTACTTAAACAGCAAAAATGTATTTTCTTATAGTTCCAGAGGGTGGACATTCAAGACGAAGTTGGGAGCAGATTCGGTTTTGGTGAGGGCTCACTTTCTGGATTTCAGACAGCAGCCTTCTCCCTGTGTCCTCATTTCGCCTGTCTTCTGTGCATGTATGCCCCTAATGTCTCTTCCTCCTCTTACAAAGACAGCAGTCCTATTGGTTTAGGATGTTAGCCTTATAACCTCCTTTAAGTTTAATTATCCCCTTAAGAGCCCATCTCCAAATGCAGTCAATTGGGGGTTTGAGCTTCACAATATGAATTTTGGGTGCACACGATTCAGTCCATAACAAAAAGTCAAGACTCTTCCATACACTTTTATGATAAGAATATCTCATGTCAATAATTAAATGTTGATAAAAATCTCAGGTAAGTAATTAAAATGCCAAGTCAGTTTCTAGCTGGAACTTAGCAATGAGTAAGTGATGTCTTCTCCTTGTTTATTTTAATCACTCAGATCTTCTACTCCTCCTTTTCATTTCATTTATATAATTCTATTTGTTTAATTATTATGGGTAAATAATAGGTGTATGTATTTCTGAGGTACAAGTGATGATTTGATGTAGGCATACAATGTGTAATAATCATATCAGGGTAACTGAGGTATTCATCACCTCAAGAATTTACTTAAACTAACCATCTAGTCTTTTCAGATAGATGAATACAAACGTGAACCTTTTAAAGAAAAGCATCTTAATATTGTTATAAATAACGTACAGTTCAATAATTAGAGTTACCTGCTTATGTATTTCAAGGAACATTATATAGCTAGGAAATGAGAATTTTGTCCTTCAGCTGTTGCCTGTCTGGGCCAGTGCTTGGATACAGATTACTGCCAATTATACATGTAATGGAGTACATTTGTGGTTATTACCAGATTAAGATTTGTCATTACAGTTTGTAAATGACCAGTTTCCCTTCACAATTGTGTAGTAATTATTGTCAAAATGGAACATCAGCACAACCACTTAAACACATTGTATTTTTTTCTTTTCACAGAAAACAGATGATCTTTAAAATCAGCTATTACCATGGCTAATGAACACTTTGTCACAACATAAAGATCCCCTGAATTTCCCTCTAGACTAATCTCATTAAGTCCAAAGCATAACATAAGTTAAATATCCAAGTTATGATCTACCAGTAAACTTTCTAGATAGAAGGCCTGTCAAGAAACAGTTAAGAAAACAGATTTCTTAAACTATCACACTCTTTCTCCTTCTCTATATTCAATAAGTTACCAGGCTCTGCCTATTATTTTTTTTCTTTCCTGTCTTCCCCATTCCTGCTGTTAGCACATCTCTCATGCCATCATCTTCTCTAGAGTAAAAAAAGACTCCTAATTTTTTTCCATATGCTCAGTCTTTCTCTATCCAGTTACAGATTGTGCTAAATAAAACATAAACTTTATGACCTTAAATATCTTCTCATTAAAATTTTCCTAGTAGTTCCTGGATAGTATTACCAAAATACTGCACTCACAAGTCAGGATATTTATTTATTCATTCAACCAATATTTATTAAGCACCCTTCTTGGCTAATTTTCTCTGTAAATTTAATCCACGGTTAATTGTTGTGTTTACACATTACGATTAACACGTGGGCTTTTAAAAACAAACATGCTTTATTCAGTGGTAAGATTTTAATCTGACCTAGTCCTGATCACCTCACTCTGCATTTCAGAATCTTTATTTATATTAAGAGACCCATAATATTCACCAATGTGTATGTCAAATGCTATGGATATTTTTATGGCTACGTGTCATTGCAGAGATCCATGTCAATGTCTAAAGTTAAACTATGGCTCAGTGGTGACACAGCTATTTGCCCTGTCCTCTTTCATTTGCTTTGGTAATGCCATCCTCAAAAATCTAATTCATCCATACTATTTTGGCGGGCTCCAATTCTGCCATGAAAAAGAGTGAAAATTTAGCAGGAATCAATAGATGTTAATTTGTCCTTCTTTAACCTCTCCAATCATTTTTTTTGTAACAAACATTTTAAAAATGTTAGAAAAGTTTTAGGTTTACAGAATTATTGTGATGATGCTATAGAGAGTCTTCATATCACACATTTAATATGCCCTATTAATAATATCTTTATATGAATATGGTATGCTTCATTTGCATGTTTGTTGTATCATTTGGGGGATTTTTGTGTGCATTCTTTGAATGTTATGAATACAAGTTATCTATTAGATATGTGTTCTGTAATATTTTGTCTCAGTTTCTGGTTTGTTTTTACATTTTCTTAATGGTGTCTTTTAAAATCCAGCCTGTCTATTTTTTCTTCATGGATTTTGTTATTGCTCTTGTATTTATAAACTTATGGCCAAACTCAAGGTAAAGGGATTTTTGGCCCAATCTTTTAAATAATTTTTATAGTTGTGCATTTGACATTTAGATTTATGACCTATTTTGAGTTAATATTTATGAAAGCTGTAAAGTCTGTGTCAAGGTTCTTTTGTATCTTTTTGTTTTCTTAACAGATGTTAACTTGTTCCAGTACCACTTGGGAAGAATTGACATCTTTTTAGGGCAGTGGTATGATCTCAGCTTACCGCAAACTCCACCATCCAGACTCAGTCGATCCTCCCACCTCAGCTTCTCAAGTAGCTGGGACTACAGGCCCATGCCACCACACCTGGCTAATTTTTGTATTTGTTGTAAAGTCAGAGCCTCACTATGTTTCCCAGACTCATCTCGAACTCCCGGACTCCAGTAATCTTCCCACCTCAACCTCTCAAAGTGCTGGCATTAAAGACGTGAGCCATCACACCTGGCAGAATTGACATCTTAACAATATCGAGTCTTCAAATCAATGAACACAGAATGTATTTTTATTGCTTTAGATTTTCTTAGATTTTTTTTAAAATTGATGTTTTGTAACATTTCACATACAGATCCTGCACGTATTTTGTTAGATTAATACGTAAGTATTTGAGTTTTTGTGTTGCTATCTTAAGTAATTATGAACTATTCCAATTGTTTATTGCTGATATATAGAAAAGCATTTGATTTCGTATATAACGTTGTATTATGCAACCTCTTTAGTATTTCCAATAGATTTTTATTGTTTTTGTTGTTTATTCTTTTGGATATTCTACCTAGATAATCATGCCTTCTGCAAACAGAGATAGTTGTATTTCTTCTTTTCTAATCTATATTCCTTTTATTTCCTTTTCTTATCCTACCATACTACTAAGAATTCCAGTAGGATATTAAGTGGGAATGATGAGATTGGGCAGCCTTGACTTATTCCTGATTTGATGGAAAATCTCCATTCTCTCACAGTTAGGAAAAGAAAGTTCCCTTCTATTCCTAGTTTTAGAGAGGTTTTTTTTTTCATTATTAACAAGGGTTGGGTTTTGTCAAATGCTTTTTTCTTTGTTTACTGATATGATCAATAGATTCTTCTTTAGTCTGTGCATGTGTTTGGTTGTGATAGCAGTGGCAGCCCATCTGGAGTGGCTGCTGCAAAGACACTGGCTACAGAGTGGGAGGGACAGCCAGGGCTGCTTGCTGCATAGAGCCCATGGGGGTCAGGAACAGGCAGGAACTGCATCCCCTACTGAGTTAAAGGGGTGGGAGCCCGTGCTCTCCAGCACAGCTGCAGCTGCTGGGCCATGCCTCTGATGCAGGCATCCCTGCGCCCTAGGGGACCAGGAAGCCCCCCCTGCTCCTGCAGGCTTGGAAGTGCCTGCTCCTGCTCCCAGGGCTCTCCCCACTCCCAGCACCTGCTCTGATTTCAGAGCCAAGTTGAAGCTGAGCCTGGATGCTGTTGTGACCTGGCCAAGTGTGTGCACCCTTACAGCAGTGCTGACATGCCAGTGCACCACCCACCTTCCCCCACCATTGCCTCAGACACCTCTGAAGCTTTGGGCACCCACAAGCTCAGGGAGGGAGGGTTGGGGGTTGATGAAGGTGGCGCAATGCAGGCCTGCAGGCGCACTCAGCATGAACAGGGTATGTCGATGGCAGGAGACAAACAGGTTCCTGGGCTAAAAGGGGTGGGTACCCTATGTAACTCCACCTTCAAGCCAGGGATGGCCTAATGCCTGGGGGCTAGGCTGCCAGTTCCCAGTGGAGTCCGAAGCCTAGAGTGATGCTGTTTCCAGCCTGCCAATGGCCACCCATGGACCAATCAGCGGGCACTTTCTCCCTTCTGAAACCCATAGAAATCCCAGACTCAGCCAGACTCACAGAGACATTGGGATGATCTGCCTGCAGATAGGAGCTACCCGCTCTGGGTCTTCTCTCTGCTGAGAGCTGCACAGACCTTAGGATGACCTGCCTGCAGGATAGGAGCCACCACTTTGGATCTCCTGAGAGCTGTTCTGTTGCTCATTGAAGCTCCTGTCTGCCTAGCTCACCCTCCAGTTGCCTGTGTACCTCATTATTCCTTGACGTAAGACAGAAACTTGGGACCCAGCGAATTATGGAACTGAAAGAGCTATAACACAAACAGGGGTGAAACACACCCTTTGCTGGCCATGTTGAAGGAGACAGGAAAGAAGAGCTGTGGTCTTTTGGGGACCCCAGACCTAGGGCCTCCCCAGCCAGGGCTGGGAAACCCTCTTTGTGGCTCTGTGGTTCCTGGCATCTCCAGGCTTCTGGGCACCACTGTGTTCCCCAGGTCCAGATGCGGATACCCACAGCAGAAGCCACACGCAGTATATCTGGTCCAGCTGCTGCTTACCACGGAGCCAGTAACTGTGTCAGTGCCTGGAGCTGCCCACCCAATCTCAGCAGCCAGTGTGCCTGGCTGCACACAGTGGCCAGACTCTCCACTTGCTCGCCCATATACCCCTTGCTGCCCCCTGCCTGGCTCGCCCTCAGCAGGTATGAGATCCAGTCCAGTAGCGTGAGCCAAGCACAGCCTGCTGGGCTGAGTGGGCAGAATGAGCCCAGTGTACACAAGCAATAGTCAGACAGAAGGTGCCGCCGACGACAGAGTTTTCTGGCTGGCAAAGGGACACCCCAAGGATCCCATGACAGTTGCAATAATTGATTTTTGAATGCTGGACCAACCATGCATATCTAGAATAAATCCCTCTTTTTGTTGCATATTATTATTTTTCTACATTTTAGATTCAATATAAATATAAATATAATTTAAAATTATATAATCTTAATTATATAATTATAAATTATATGATTACAATGTATAATGATATAAATATAAATTATATAATTATATAATTTAATTTTTTTTTTTTTTTGAGATGGAGTCTCACACTGTCACCCAGGCTGGAGTGCCGTGGCGCGATCTTGGCTCACTACAAGCTCTGCCTCCAGGGTTCACGCCATTCTCCTGCCTCAGCCTCCCGAGTAGCTGGGACTACAGGCGCCGGCCACCACGCCTGGCTAATTTTTTGTATTTTTAATAGAGACGGGTTTTCACCATGTTAGCCAGGATGGTCTCGATCTCCTGACCTCGTGATTTGCCCCCCTCGGCCTCCCAAAGTGCTGGGATTACAGGCGTGAGCCACTGCGCCCGGCCAAGATTATATAATTTTAAATTATAATTTTGTGTGTGTGTGTGTGTGTGTGTGTGTGTAGGATCTCGAGTCTATAATCATGAGACAGATTTCTGCTTTTGCAACATCTTTGTCTAGTTTTGATACTAGTATAATACTAGCAAGAAATTAATTAGAAAGAGTTCCCTCTGCTTTTATGTTATGAAAGACATTATGAAGAATTGGTAGTATTTCTTCTCTAAATGAATTCAGTGAAATTATATGGGCCTGTTGATTGTGTTTTCAGAAGGTAATTAAATATTGGTCCAATTTCTTTAAGAAATATAGGACTATTGAGGTAACTTTTTTATTCTTGTATAAATTTTGGCAGTTTGTGTTCTTCAAGGGATTGTTTCATTTTATTTACCAATTTTTTGGCATAGAATTTTTCATAGCATTTCTTCATCTTTCTTTTTTACTGTTCAGGAGATCAATATAGATCATTATTTTCTGATATTCTCAATTTTATCTTCAATCTTTTTCTGTTGGATAGCTTGGCCTAGAAAATTATCCATTTTATTGATCTTCTCGTACAAGCAGCTTTTGATGATAATGATTTTCTCTATTGTTTTCCTGCTAACAATTTTATTTACTTCTCCTTTAAGTTCGATATTTCTTTTCTTCTACTTGTTTTTGGCTTAAATTTCTCTTCTTTCTCTAATTTCCTAGCATAAAAGTTTACACTATTGATATGAGATTTTTTAAATTTCTAAAGTATGTACTTAATGTCTTAAATTTTACACTAAGCACTATTTTTGCTGCATCCTATAGTCTTTGTAAATTGTTTTCTTCTAATTTATTACAAAATATTATAAATTTCTCTTGAGACCTTTTCTTTGCCCCATGTGTTATTTTGAAGTGCATTGTTTAATTCCCAGATATTTGGGAATTTTCCAGCTATGCTTCTGTTTTTAGCTTCTGGTTAATTCTATTTTTGTCAGAGAATATATATTGCACAATCTCTGTTCTTTTAAATTTGTTACAACGTTATGGCCAAAAGATATCCTATTTTGGTGAACGTTTCATGCAAGCTTTAGAGGAATATGGATTTTATTTTTATTAGATATAATATTATATGCATTTCAATTAAATCAAATTGATTGATGATACTGTTCGTTTCAACTATATCCTTATTGATTTTGTGCCTGCTTAGTTTATCAATTACAAGAGATGTTAAACTCTCCAACTATAGTTCCGTATTTGTCTTTCTTGTAGTTTGATTAGTTTCTGCCTCATGCATTTTGATGCTCTGTTGTTAGGTGCATACAGATTTAGGATTCCTATAACTTCTTGGAGAATTGACAGTCTTAATGTTATGTAATGTCTCTTTATCTCTGATAATTTTCCCTTTTCTAAACTCTATTTTTTCTGACTTTAATACAGCTACACCACCTTTATGCTGATTAGTATTAACATGTTAACTCTTTCTTCATCCATTTACTTTCAACCCATTAGGGTTTGTGTATTTATTCTGGGTTCTTTTAGAAAAGCACACACTTGGATTTTGTTTTAAACCACTCTTATAACATGTGTCTTTTAATTGGTATATTTATACCCTTCACATTCAAAATGAATATTTGTGTATTTACATTAATATCAATTATTATCAGGGGCTTCTGTTTCTTTCTTTTCTCATTTTAATTGGGCATTTTATGTGATTGCATTTTATTTCCTCCGTTAGTGTATTAATAATATTTCTTTTAACTATTGCTTAGTGTTTTCCTTAAAGTTTACAATATGCATTTTTAACTAATCTAAGTCCATCTTGAAATAACACTTTTTTGCTTCATGTGTAGTACACATATCTTTTAAGACAGTATTCCCAATTTTTTCTATCCTTTGTGAAATGGCTCTAATTCATTTCACTACTTAATATGCTATAATGATCCAGTATATTGCTTTTTTATTACTTTAAATTAATAGTTATATTTTAGACCAATTAAGTTAACATGGAATTATGTTATATTCATTTATTCCTTTTCTGATGTTTTTGTCTTTTTTAAAAAAATTCTAGGTTCAAATTTTTGACCTATAACATTTACCTTCTGCCTAACAAAAATCCTTTAATATTTCTTGTAGTCAGATCTGCTGGTAATAGATTCCTTCAATTTTTGTTTGTCAAGAGGTCTTTATTTCTCCTTTACTTTTTGTTTTTTTAATAATAGTTTGATTGAAATATCATAGATATACCATACATTTATCCATTTAAACTGTACAATTTAATATTTTTATTCAGAATTGTGCAACCATCAACATTATGTAATTTCAAAACATTTCCATCACTCCAAAAAGAAACCCATATCCAAGTCTTCCTGCTTTTTTTTCCACCTTTGCTCAGCTGTCAGTGTAAATGTTCTCAACCTTGTGTTTTGCCAATTGACAAGCTTCAGTCAGGGCAATCAATTCGGCTACTTGAGCTGATCTGGCTTGGGAAAGAGGATCAGCTTCAATTACCTCTGGTAAGGGAACCACAGCATATCCTGCTCTAAAATTTCCATCCTCTCCTCTTAAATAAGACCCATTGGTATACCATTCTATCTCAGCATTATACAGTGGTGTCTCTTGTAGGGCTGTCCTGGGAGTGAGAAGTTGGTTTGTCATCAGAACACAGTCAAGAAGGATTTCCTCAAAAGGGCCCAGCAAGAGAGTGACCAGATTAAGATTATTACAGTGGGAAATGATAATATTTGGAGATGATAAAGCAAAATGTCATAAGAGGTTAACTGGTTGACAGAGAGATGTTGAGTATGATAACAGTTTAGAAGGGTCTCAAAAGAATGCAGTACTGAAATTATAAGGTGGAAACCCATAATTATTTTTTCAACAGACTTGTACAGAAGGGAAGTGGCTGATATTGCTCTCAGAGAGCGAGGCAGCCCTCAAGCCATGGGGTTAAGCCATTGGCCATAATGGCCTATAGGTCTCCAATGATCACCATGTTTCTGGGTCAGTGCCCAGGATGCAACAGCTCCAATTTCATGTACCAAAAAGGAGAAAGGCAATTTGTAGTTAGGATGCCCTAAGGCTGGGTTATTAGTTAGGGTTTCCTTTATTTGTTGTACAGCTGGTTGTCTATCTGGAGTCTCCATGATGGGATCAGATTATTTATTCACTTTTTAGGTGTGCATACAGAGGTTGAGCTATAAGGGAGAAATTTGGTATCCAGTTCCCACAATAGCCAGCCAGCCCCCCAACTTATCTAAGTTGTTTCTTAGTGATGGGCATTAAGAAAGCTAAAACTCCTCTCACTCTATACTCAGTCGTTTGACTGAGATAATATGTCCCAAATACTTAACTTGGTGTAAACATAGCTGAAGTTTGTTTTCGGATACTTTTTGTCCCTTGGTGACTGAGTAAATATAGACTCTTTTCCTGCGAGGAAGAGAGTGTGTCTGAACAGAGGAGAAGGTCATCTACATATTAGATGAGTGCTAAGCCCTCGGGAATAATTGAACCCTCTAAGTCAGCTTTTAAGTTTTTTGGAAAATAAGTGTGACTTTCTGTGTACCCTTGGGGCATTATAGTACACGTATATTGTATTTTCCAAGTAAAGGAAAACAAATACTGGCTGTCTGGATCTACAGGAATACCAAATAAGGCACTGCAGAGAGCTACAATTGAGAAATACTGGCTGGGAGTGGCTATAGCTGATAGTACAGTATGTGTGTTGGGGACTGTTGGGTGTCTGGGTATTACAATATTGTTTAGTGCCCTCTCAAATCTTGTAAAAATCTCAACCCTCTCCCATTTGTTTTTTCAAAACAGTAATATAAGACTGTTGCAGGGGCTAGAACAGGAAATAACGAGCCCTTTTCAAGATAATCTTGTATGATAGGGGCAATTCCATCTATGGCTGTCTGCTGTAAAGGATATTGTTTAAGGTAGGGTAGGGGTATCTTTGAATTTATCTCAACCTTTATTGAAGTGGCTGATAATATTTTTCCCATGTCTGTATTTGATGGGACTCTAAGTGGGAGGGGACACCCTTAAGCAAATGCTCCACTTCTGGGGTTAACAGAAAGATTGGGGAGGCCAAAAAGAGTTTTACCATTTCCTTCCCTTTATTCCAATGTTCTCTCTTCTTCTCTACTTTTTTCTTTTTTGTCTCCATTTCACTTTCCCTGTTGCAAGATGAAATTTCAAAATTACCAGTACTAAATCAAGGTACATTATCGGTACTTTTTAAAATTTGTTAGTTTTAGTTTCCCATCTACAATTCTAAAAAAAGTTCACTATTTGATGAAAAATAGATATGGGCCTTATGGATGTTGAGGTGATCACAGCTTAAAAGATTGATGGGGCTCCCCAGGCATATTAGGAACACAGGAGGCAAACTGAGCATGTCACATTTAGAGCCCTCGGTGGGGGAAAGCTAAATCTGATGAAACAGCAAGGTATAGGTTTAGATTTAAAACATGAGATAGTTTTATTAGACACACCTACCATGTTCATCCTTTCATTACTCCAAGGAATGGGGTTTCTAAATAAGGTGGGATTTATAACATATAGAGTTGCTCCCATATCAATAAGGCAGTTGAGAGTTTATGGTTTATTATTATATTAATCTCTTTCAATTTGTTTGTCGGGGTAGAATATTTGGAAAGGGAAAACCCTTTAACTTCCTCAGAGCATCCTTAGACTTCCTGAATTGCTCCTTCCTGTTCCGGCTTCCATTTCAGCCTAAGGCTGTCCCTTTTAAGGTGTTCTGGTCTTTCAAAGTAGCAACAGACTGGAAGGGAAGAGTCCTCAGACTGAAGGGGCTTAGAATTCTTAAAATTTTTCTGAGGCTGAAAGATCTGAAAAGTTAATTGCTTTAACTGTTAATGCATAGCTAGGGCAGTCTTTTGCTTTACTTTTTTATCATAGTGTGGGCATAATTGGTCAGCGAAGTTAATTAGTTTATTAGTTCTGGCCATGGCCCAATTTGTCATGTGGCATTGTAGAAGGGTGGTTAAATCCTCAACTAGTATGTTTAAGAAATTTGTATTTAATAATGTATCATTTTTATTGTTTTCAAAGCAGTCAGCTCACATCCTGCCATATTGCCTCAAAGTTTTATTAAAGTGAGTAAAATAATCAAAAACTGATTCATTTGGGTTTTGGAAGCATTGCTGGATTTTACTACAACCCACAACCCTTTGGAACACTGAAGGAATGATATTTAACAGAGAAACATGGGGGCAGTTTCCCCCATACTGTTCCCATGATAGTGAATACATCTCCCAAGATCTGATGCTTTTATAAGGGTTTTTTCCTTTGCTTGACTCTCATTCTTTTTTTGCCTGCTACCATATAAGACATGCCTTTTGTCTTCCACCATGATTATGAGGCCTCCCCAGCCATGTGGAACTGTGAGTCTGTTAAACCTCTTTTTCTTTATAAATTACCCAGTCTTGGGTGTGTCTTTATCAGCAACATTAAACCAGACTAATATATACACTAATTTGGACATCTCAAAAGATCCCCAGATAGGCCAATATAACTTAGAATCTGCTTTGGTTATAGTGGTCCACTTGATTAAATATTCACATGACAATTTTCCATAAGTATTTTGCATATACCCAGCCAGAGTTTCTAAGGGTGGAACTTTGTGTTCTGCAGCTGTGGGAGTTTCAGCCAACTTAGAGGCTTCCTTCCCCATACTTTAATGTTCTCTTGCAGATTTTACTAAGTTGGGAAATGTGTCAGACCCAATGTGTGCTGCTTGCAGATGTATCTTTTCAGGGCCATTACTCCCTGAACTGGTCTGCTCCACCTGTGTCATGGCTACCTGGTACAAAGTGTCAGGGGCTCAAGGCATGGGAGGGGTCAGCTCCTTATATGCACCCCCTGGGTGAGATTAGACCCTAAGAGTGTTCTTCTGAGGGGGAAACCTACTTAGATCCACTGCACACCTTAGAGAGCATTCCTCCCTGATATCCTCATATGATTCTTCGTCACCTGAGAATGCCCTAAAAGGTTGAGGGGAGCAAGGTGTTCTTATCTCTTCAGAGTGGAAAATTTCAGATTTATAAGCTAGGAGGTTTAGAGTTGGTCAAATCTAATAAGAGAAGAACTGAAACATAAAACACACACACACACACACACACACACACAAGAAAGAAAACAACACAGAAACAAACAAAACACCTAAGCTAAAGGAACAACAATCACACAAATTACACATTTTGAAGCATTCTAAATGTAAGGAGAAATTAAGACCAGCTAGTTGTTAACACTAACTTTAGTTATTAAAGAGAATCATAACAGAATCCCAATTCAGCTCCTTACCTACAGATGAGGCTCAAGCTGAAGGTGGCTCTCTGCCGATGAAGAAGCAGACAAGCTCACCTTCCCTGGTGGAAGCAACTGGAAACTTCCAGGAAAACGGGAATTTTTAACAGCAATAAAACTTCAGACCCCCAACTAAGGATCCCTGGAGGAAAGAACTTCCAAACCAAAATTGGGCTTATTGGTTTGGGCTATAAAGAGCCCAAGCTGGTACCAAGCACCCATAGGAGAAGCTCCTGCACGCCTGAGCCACCTTCACTCAGGATCCCTCCTTGGTTATGAGATGTTAATCAAGGAAAGTGACCAAGGCAAGTCTCAATTATTTTAGGAGGTTTATTTGCCAAAGTTAAGGACATGTGCCTGGGAGATGGGTCTTTCTCTTCGGGCCTTTCTCTGAAGATGATTTTGAGGGCTTCAAATTTAAAGGGGAAAGGGTGGGATAATGAGAGACACAATTTTCATGTGAGAGGAGGGTAGGGGAAAATAGTCATTCATGTCTTTGTCTAGCTCAGTGAATCTGCGTTTTTACATAATACACCATAGACAGTAGGGCAGAGGAAACAGATATGCATTTGTCTCAGGTAGGCAGAGGTATGACTGAGTTTTGTCCTATGTCCCCACACTTGTGGAGATAAGCTATTAATTTACATTGCCATGGTAAACTAACAGAAATGTTTTAGGGTAAAGATAGTGAGACCCACAACAATTTTCCTGTGGGCAAAATGTGAGGGAAGTATGTAGTTTTCATCTTCGTAGCCATTTTATTTGGGAACCAAAATGGAAGACAGGTTTGCGTGACCCCAATTCTGAGCATTGCTTTTCCCTTTGGCTTAGTATTAGTGAGTTTGGGATCCCAAGATTTATTTTTCCTTCACATTTTGTAACCACTAATCTACTTTTTTTCTGCCTAGATTTGCCTATTCTGAACAATTTTATATAGGTTTTATATAGATTGAATTATTCAATATATGACCTTTAAAATGGCTTTTTCAACTTAGCATAATGTTATTAAAGTTCAACCATGCTGTAGCATAAAAAAGTATTTTATTTTTATCACTGAATAATATTCCGTTATATGACTACATCATACCTTATTACTATTCATCATTTGACGGACATTTGGGTGGCTTCTTGGCTTCTACTTTGTAGTTATGATGAATAATACTGTCATGAACATTCATGTTCAAATTTGTGTGAGGATATACACTTTCAATTCCCTTGAGGACATACATAGGAGAGGAATTGCTGCGTCATATGGTAGCTCTCCGTTTAGCTTACAAGGACTGTTTTGAAAGGTGGCAGCACCATTTCACATTCCCACTAGAAGCATGTGAGAACAATTTCTCTACAACTCCTTTGCCACTGATTCTTATGTCTTTTTGATTATAGCCATGCTAGAGAGTGTAAAGTACTATGTCACTGTGATTTTAAATTGTATATCTCTGGTGACTAGTGATGTTTGCCTCTTTTTAAGTGCTTATATTTTATAACTTTAAAAGTATAATTTCACTGGATATAGAATTATACATAGGATTTTTTTTCTTTGCTACACTTAAATAATTCAGTTCACTCTGTTCTTGCTTGAAAAACCTCTGACAAGAAGTCTGCTCTAATTATTATTCTTGTTTCTTTATAGGCGAAATTGTTTGCTCCTTCTTCTCACTATCTTTATACTCCTTCAAGGTTTTCCCTTTGCTTTTAGTTTTCTACAGTTTAAATGCAATATGATTTAAAGCAACATTTTTCTTTTCTTTTTTTTTCTTGTATGTATTCTTGGTATCATCTGAATTTTCTCGATTTGTCTTTAACTAGTTCTTAGTTATTGTTAATTCAAATATTTCTTTGCCTCCCATTTCTCTTGAAAATTATATATATATATATTACATCTTTAAAATTGTCCCCAAAGTTTCCGAATATTCTTTTCTGGCTTTTATATTCTTATTGATTTTTCGTTTCAGTTTTGGAATTTTCTATGGAACTGTCATAAAGCTCGTTGATTATTTCCTCAGCTGTTTGAAGTCCACCAATGTGTCCATCAAAGACACTCCTCGCTTCTGTGACAGTGCTTTCATTTTTAGCATTTTCATTTGATTATTTCTTAGAATTATTATCTTTCTGCTTACATTATATATTTGTTCTTGCATGTTCTGCTTTCTCCCCTGGATCCCTAAACATATTAATCATAATTGTTTTCAATACCCTGCCTGGTATTCTCACCAAGTGTATCATATATGAGTTGGGTTCTGATGCTCATTCTGCCTCTTCAGACTGTGTTATCTTGTGTTTGTTTTCACTTTTTCTTCATTGTCACAGATATTTTAGATTTTTGTTGAAAACTAGACATGTTTTGGATAATAGGAACTGAAGTAAATATACTGATAGTATGAGAATTAATGTTAATCTGCTAGGAGTTGAGTGTTGTTTAGTGGATGCTGTAGTAAGAGGTTCCAATGACTTGAAGTTCTTCTAGTGTCTTTTTACTTTGTCTTCCCTCTTGACTATGAGTTTCCTAAAATACTCTTCTTCAGAGAGCCTCTGTTTTGCAGCTCTTTTAGCTGCAATCCACCATTATTATACGGGAGCCCTGTTGGCATTAATCCTATGTGAGAGGGGACGTGTTCTGTAACCTTCCAACTAAATACCAGTCTTTTAATTGGCCTGTGTCTCTACCCTGTGACATCTACAAGATTTTCTTTTAGTATAGCTTTTCTCATCCTTAGGTGTGACAGGAAGCTTAGACAGGGTGAGGAAGAGGAGAATATTCTTTCCCCACAGCTCGGCAACAAGGTTCTGGTGAAGCCTCCCCTCCTGGGGAGTAGGTCTGTGTTGTGGACTAGATTCTGGGACTCTGTCCTAAAGATGACTCCTTCTCGACCACTGCCAGAGTCATAGGGGGGTCTTTATCAGCTCCTAATCATGGGATTTTGGTGGGGTTCCTGGATCTCATGAAAGTATAGGACACTTCCTAAGATTGCAGCTTCCAGAGTTTCTCATTCTCAAGCTAGTCTGCACTCAGCCTCCAGCAATCTGTCAAAATTTCATTTAAGTATTCCCCTAAGTTCCAGCAGTTTGTGCTCCAGTGAAACAGATCTTGGCTGTGACGCTCTGGATTCTCCTGTCTCCAGATTTTGGTGTGGTAGTGTTCCCTGCAATTTCATTCTCATTAATTTTCAGTTTTCCAGCTTTTCGTTTTTGTTCTTGTAAGGATAGGACTGACAGTTTCTCAAGCTCTTGACACGTTGGAACTGAAAACAAAAGTCTATTGTGTCACTTTTTAAACCTCTTTTTTCTTTTTTTTTTGGAAAAATCTGCTGTGAAGTTACCCAGTTTGGTAAGTACATGTTGCTGTGTTAGGGAGGATTAGGGTAAAATATATCTACAATGCTCTTATGTACTATGTTAATTAACTGAGTGGTTTACTAAAATCAGGTAAAATGGTGTAACATTGCTTATGCTTAGAACGCATAGGGTAATATTAATTCAAAAAAAGTTTTACATTAGACCTCATGTCCTTCAGTGATAATCAGTCCATCTTCCAAATAAATTTGAAGATGTCAGCAACATAATCAATATAAACTGTAATATTATAATTACAGCATATTCCATTGTATCTTTGAGTGTGCAATATTTAGCAGTTCATGTAGTACCCAAGCTGTCTATGTATATTATTGAAAGTAAGTTTTACTGCCTATTCCCAAGAGAAATTATTCTTTGTTAATGTTTTTTAATATTTTCTTTTCTTTTTGCATATATTTTAAGGCCTAGCTACTAAGCATAGTTAAGTTACATGTATTTCCAGTACAATACACTGCTTTAAAAAACCTTTGAAAAATAATTATGTATTTAGAGATGGAGTCTTGCTATGTTGCCTAAGCTGGATTCAAACTCCTGGGCTCAAGCAATCCTCCTGCCTCAAACTCCTGACTAGCTTTGTTCTCTTTTTTTTTTTGTCCTGAGAGCAAGAATAATAGCATCCATTAATATATTTTACAGCGTTGAGAATGACTTTATACTTTACTACAGCATGGTAAAAATCCCTAAATATTTAATAAATCATATACTAGTGCACTGCAGTGTTTATACATTACTGAGAACACCCGTGTAGTCTATATTGTAATACTCATTCAAACATAATCGTTTAAATATAATACAATCAAGCAAGCTATAGTTACATAAAATTAATGATAAATCTTGGCTAAAATTCAATGAAAAATTCAGTTACAGAGAAGATGCAGTTTGGCAAATACAAAACTAATATAAAGGAAATTATTTCAAAATATCACTTTAAAGAAACACATTTTATTTGTAAATATCATCTGAACTGCTCAAGATTGTATACAGTGTTATGGAAACCAAAGTTCTGGATAAAGAATATAATGCGGCTTGTTAACAATTTAAATGAAAAAAAAAAGTATTGTATTTCTAATTTGAAAGGCAAGGGAAATTGTGCATTCTTACCTAGGGGTATTTGGCAGAAAGACATCTTCTTGTGATTGATATTAATGGGAGTTTCACATGTGTATTTGAAGGAAAAAGAAAACCTCCCTAATTAGTGTTTTCCTCCCATACATTTCATTTCTCAAAAGGTTTAGTTGATGAGCTGTATCAGCAATACAGTTTTAGAAATGTTTACTAAGGAAAGAATGAATCATAAAAACATTTCTTCCTTTGCATTTAGAGAGAAATCCAATATAATTTCATGCATAATTAGAGTTTAAATGATACCATGAAAACACATACTACAAAACAATAAACATAATACACTTCCCATCCCAGAGCTGTAAGCCTTGGAATTTAAAATTATGCTTTATGTAGAGCTAGAAATTAAAATAGATAAATTATTAATGAAGAGAAAGAGAATCTTTATAACTTTCAACATTCATAGATCCATGAAACATCTTAAAATTAAGTGTCTGCCATTAAAAGTATGAAATTATTTGAACTTATTCCATAGAATTATTGTGCAAAAATTTTATAAGAATTGTATGCATCAGATACATTTTAAATGATTTATATTTTATTAAAACATTTTATTTATTGGTTACTATTACCACATCGTAGGTAGATTTTTAGATGTTAGAGTGCCATGTTCTTAGGTTTTAATTGATTTTTAAATCTCTAAAAAGATTCATGTTATAATTATGTGGAAATCATTGAATACATTTGTATATAAAATATCAATTATGCTTTCATTAAAAAAATATATATATATAAAATAATAAGGCTTATTGGAGAAGTCTGGGTCTTCCAGCACTTATTGCTTTCATCCATGAATACCTGCTTTATATTTCTTTATTTCCCTCTATAGCTGTCATTTTAACCATGAGAATCTTTTAAATTAATGACAAACAATATAATAGCTTCATATACAGCATATCTGTTTTAAACAGAATAATGGTCCCCTAAAGATGTTTACATTACAACCCTGCGGGGGCTGGGCACAGTGGCTCAAGCCTGTAGGTAATCCCAGCACTTTGGGAGGCTGAGGTGGGCAGATCACAAAGTCAGGAGATGCAGACCATCTGGCCAACATGGTGAAACCCCGTCTCACTAAAAATACAAAAATTAGCTGGATGTGGTGGTATGTGCCTGTAACCCCAGCTACTCGGGAGGCTGAGGCAGGAGAATCCCTTATCGCCTGAACCAGGGAGATGGAGATTGCAGTGAGCTGAGATCACACCACTACACTCCAGCATTCCAGCCTGGTGATAGAGCAAGACTCTGTCTCAAAAACACACAAACAAACAAACAAACAAAAAAAACAGAGATGTTCACATTGTAACCCTGGAATGTGTGAATATGTTATGGTACATGGAAGAGGGAATTAAAGTTGAAAATAAAACCAAGTTTTCTAATCAGTTGACTTTAAAATAAGATTATTCTATAATTATTGGGTGGGTCCATGTGATTACATGGGATTTTATAAGTTAAAGAGGGAGGCAAGAGGATCAGTGTCCCAGAGATGCTCCATGAAAAAGCTCAGCTTCCAACTCCTGTCTTTGAATATGGAAGAAGTCATGAGCCTAGGAATGTTTACAGACTCTACAAACGGGGATAAGCAAGTAATTGAATTATCCCCCGGGGAATCCAGAAGGATCGTAGCCTTGACAACACTTTGTTTTTAGCACAGTGAGATCTAGTTAAGACTTCTGATATCCAGAAGTTATAGGCTTGTGCTGTTTTAGGCCATCAAGCTTGAAAATTTGTTACAGCAGTAACAGGTAACTAATACAATATCCAAAATATAATTAATAATTCACCCAAACACAGTGACAGAACATGAATGCCAAAGCCCTCCTCCTTCTCCTTTCACACTTCTCACTATTCTAGTTGCATCTTCCTACACCTGATTTCAAGGTTTTAGTTCGTCTTTCTCCAACCCTTACACACTTATATTTAGTCATACATATTTTATAAATTTGTTCAGTTTGTTTGCTTTTTCATTCCCATGTGCATTTCTGACAGCCAGGTTCTCTTTTTCATTCACCTAGATTAATGCAATGGTGCCCTGAAAAATCCCCATGTTTTCTTTTTGAACCAAAAAATGCTTCATATATCTAACAGAGCTGTAGGCTTTTCAATTAAAGATGTGATATTAAAATAGGTCTTCTCATAAATCTTTGTTGAATCTTAGCATATTTCCTATAACATCTAATACAATTGTAGTAATCATGATAACAGTTATTGTTTATTGGATGTTTCACTGAATAAGTAATAGTCATCATTCCAAATATTTTACTTTGATCACTTAATTTTTCCTCTCAGTTATCCTATGGGTTATTTCTCCATTGCATAGATGAAGACATTGAAGTTCAGAAGTGAAATAATTGACCAAACGTCATCCAGCTAAATAGCTGCACATCAATAGTTTGAAATTAAGAATATGTGAATTTAGGCCAGGCGCGGTGGCTTATGCCTGTAATCCCAGCACTTTGGAAGGCTGCAGTGGGCGGATCAGGAGTTCAGGAGATTGAGACCATCCTGGCTAACATGGTGAAACTCTGTCTCTACTAAAAATACAAAAAATCAGCTGGGCATGGTGGCACATGGCTGTAGTCCCAGCTACTCGGGAGGCTGAGGCAGGAGAATCACTTGAACACAGGAGGTGGAGGTTGCAGTGAGCCGAGATCGCACCACTGCACACCAGCCTGGGCGAAAGAGTGAGACTCCATCTCAAATTAAAAAAAAAAAAAAAAAGTGAATTTAACCCACAGACTTATGGAATACACCAATGACGGGTCATCCCCTAAATCACACAAATTTTCCTTTTTTCTCACCCCCCTATAGCCATACAGATTTTCCAGGCTTCTTTTTAGCCTTTCATTGTTTGATAAACTTATTATTTTTCACTTAATAAGAAATGTATTCATATGTTTTCAAAGTAAGTACATATTAAAAGACTTCTAGAAAAAAGTTTCCTTCTTGTTTCATCCCCTCTAACTTGTTTCTCAAATCTTTCAATACTGTCTTGAATTTTATTTTTGTGTTCCCTTCTAATTTTACATGCAAATACAAGAAAATAAAAACATATTTTATTTTACCTTTCTTACAAAAAAGGTAGTATATTATATATAATGTTCAGCAACTTCTTCGTTTTGAAACATTCCCAAACTAAAGAAATGTGAAACATTAGTACAATAATTAACCACATGCCCTTCGATTAGATGCATCAGTTGTTTTGTGAAATATTTGAAAAAGCTGTTAATAGTGTTTTCATCAGAAAGTGTTCCAGAACCATCTATCGAGACACAAAAAGGAACAATCAAATGAATAACTAGGAAAACTTGCAAATAATTCCAGGTTATGCAAGAATCTTTTTCATTCCTGTTATCTAAAAGTAAAGATTTGTCACTTTAATAATATGTCATGTGTTTACCTAAGGGCTTCCACTGCTCAAACATATACCACTCTCCTAGACAATGTCTACTCTTTTTTTTTTGAGACAGAGTCTTGCTCTGTCACCCAAGCTGGAGTGTAATGGCGCAATCTTGGCTCACCGCAATTTCAGCCTTCTGGGTTCAAGAGATTCTCCTGCCTCAGCCTCCCGAGTAGCTGTGATTACAAGCACCCGCCACCATGCCCAATTAATTTTTTTTCGTATTTTTAGTATAGACGGTTTCACCATGTTGGCCAGGCTGGTCTCGAACTCCTGACCTCATGATCCGCCTGCCTCAGCCTCCCAAAGTGCCAGGATTACAGGCGTGAGGCACCATGCCTGGCAGACAATGTCTATTCTTATACCAAGAGTAGCACATTACAGAAGCCTTCAAGCTACCACTATCCAATAGACTGCTGTGAGGGATATTGGAGAAGCCTTCCTCTGGGGCCTGAACATGTGATTTGTGTGATGTGTAACAGTTTATATGTTAGAACCCTGAACAGTATTTGTGTGTTGTGTCACAGTTTATATGTTGGAATCCAGAAGAGGATCTTCTTCCTTGTGTTTAATGACATAAATTAAAAAAAATGAAAAAGTTTGTTTAGAAAAGGCAGAGTAATGTTTCCAACGTTAGAATGAGAATAACTCAAATTTAAGAAATAAATCAAAATAAAATGAAAAAAGAGAACAGAATTGAGTAAACTAATACATTTTTTAAAAAGTGTGAAAATTAAAGGAACTTTTTTAAAAAGACAAAAAGATTTTAACAATAAAGGATAATCAGAACTTCTGAAATTCAATGATAATGATATGTCATCATATAAACTAATAACCATAATAACAAAAACAGCACATTTGAATCTACATGAATAATATGTTTTTTCTTTTCTAACTTTTCTACATCAAATAGCAGATATTAATGGATCAATAATCTCAAAACTGGAAGAAATGTTATATTACCAGGGTTCTCCAGTGAAAAGGAACAAACAAGATGTTTTTATTTACAGAAAGATGTTTATTTTAAGAAATTGGCTCACGTGATTTTAAAGTCTGGCAAGTCCAAAACCTACAGGGTGGACCAGCAGACAGGGGACCAAGTAAGAGTAAGCGAAGGATGCTGTAGTTAAAATGCAGAGGATGTCTAGGAAGCCAGCCTTTTGTTCTCTTCATGTCTTCAGCTGATTGGATGAGGCCTAGCCACATTGTGGAAGGCAATCTGCTTTATTCAGAGTCCACTTATTTAAACATTAGTTGCGTCCAAAACTACCCTCACAGGAATATGGAGACTACTGTTTGGCCACATATCCCAACACTGTGACCCAGTGAAGTCAACACATAAAAACAACCATCACAAATGCATTGCACTGCATCTCATATTCATATGTTATTTGATTATTGTTCCTATATGAAAGTAACTAGATGTTAAGTGAAGATCAAAATTAGCCTGGCTTATAGTAATTTATGAAATTGCATTAGATTTGTGAAATCAATAAACACCATAGATTCAACAAAATACACACACACACACATATATATATACACACACACACATATATATAGTGCCCATTGTCTAGTCAAACAATAGATTAGATGTTGCTGCTTAGGTCTCTTTAAAATAAGATTAATACTTAAATGAGTAACTTTGAGTAAAGCAGATTACCCTCCATAATGTGGGAGGCCACACCCAGTTGAAGGCCTTAAGGGAAAAGACGGAGGTTCCATGAAAAGGAAAGAGTTCTGCCTCCAAGCTGACTTCTGACTCAGGAATGCAACATTAATTCTTGGAATTCCCAGCCTGCTGGCCTGCCCTGCAGATTTCATACTTGGCAGCCCCACAAGCATTTGAGCCAACTTCTTTAAATCTCTCTCTATCTCTCCCTCTCTTTTGATATATCATAGGCACCCGGAACATGTGTTTACAAGGATAATGAAATGGAGGCAGAGGAAAAGAGAAACATTACCAAGAAATATGAGACTACCACTTAAAGAATAATGATCAGCGTATTCTTCTATTGACATCCTGTGACATTTTGTCAGAGAATAGTTGAATCCATTAAGAATTGTTCAGCTACAAGTGACACAAAAGTAAAAGATTGTGGCTGAAAACATTTTAGTACATTTTAAACATCTAACAAGAAGTCGGCAGTTGAGTATTTAAAGGCTAGAGTGTCAAGAAAGCTCCCAAAACCCTAAGCTATTTTTGACATTCTTCCCTGCCATCCTTAGCATATTGGCTTTCTGAACTCATCATGCTTGGAGCTCTATGGCCACAAAATGATCTCCCTACCTCCAGAAACATTGTCTAAAATTTAGGCAAAAAGATATAAAGGTCAGTAACATTATTTGTCCCTGTGTGTGTGTATATGTATACATAAATATATACATAAACACGTGTGTATGTATATGTATATATATATATACATGTACACACACAGGAAAATGTCATGTGTGTATGTCTGTATGTACATATAAAGCATCTCCCAGGTTTCTTCTTCAATTTCTTTAAACAAAGAATCCAATGAAGTCTTAGCTCTATTAATGGCAGAATAATTTATATAGGACTAACCTTCCTACAGATGTAAAATATTATACACCAAACCAATAAAGCCCAACTATTTGAAGGCACTAGATTTTTACCAAAAGTAGTTTCTTCCTTCAGATGATTTAGTCCTAGAAGAACTGTGGTGCTGGAATCATGGGGCAGCTGGAGGTGAACAGAAAGGAACAAATTCGGCATAAAAAAAAAAAAAAAGATACGGAATCCAAGCTCATCGATGCCCCTGTGAGTTGAGAGCCAAATTCTTACATTGGAGAAATATTCCAAATTCTTCTAATAAATATCCTTCAATTTTTTTATGTCCACTAAATTACACAAATGCAGGTGAGATTACAAGAAGCTCAGAAGAAAACAATACCTGATAAACTCAAGAAGCTCAGCGTGTGTCTCAGCTGCTGCTGACAAAAGGAACAATGGAACTTGGAGTTTCATTCAGAGGGGCCAAATTAAAGAAAATAAATTAAAAACCTATTGAAGGCCAGATGCGGTGGCTCACACCTGTAATCCCAGAACTTTGGGAGGGCAATGCGGGCAGATCACCTGAGGTCAGGAGTTTGAGACCATCCTGTATAACAGGACAAAAACCCATCTCTACCATAAATACAAAAATTAGCCAGTGTGGTGGCGGGCACCTGTAATCCCAGCTACTTGGGAGGCTGAGGCAGGAGAATTGCTGCCTGGGAGGTGAGCTTGCAGTGAGCAGAGATCACACCACTGAACTCCAGCCTGGGCAACAGTGTGAGACTCTGTCTCAAAAAACAAAAACCTATTGAAAACACAAAATGGTCACATCACAAGAATAACAAGCATGCCCCAGTCTACTCAATTAAGAAGTTAGTTTCTAACTCACTGAACAGAGAGCCAGCTTCATGGATGAGGGACAGTGTAGACATGTAAGACTGTCTGCTCAGAGAGACCCAATTTTTTACAAGCTTATCTTTGAGCATACTAACACACAGTATCCCTCCCTTACCCTCCTGCTTCCCTGGGATGTGTTCTCCACCATTTCTTGCCCTTGCCCCTGGCACCCTGATTCCTATCCATCCTCCTTCTCCACTCCAGCCAGTTACTTCTGCTCTGTGGCCATCCTCAGCAGGGGCCTGGGTGAAGAAAGAGTGCAGGTCAGGCAAGCATACACCACCTTGTCTGAGGGCAGAGCAGGGCAGCAGCCATTCAGCATGATGGCATATTCAGTGGGTGGCTTGTGTGATCAAGCCTCTCACCCATCTCTAATCTAGATACCAAGCACGTCCTAATGCAGAAGTTGCAATGTTCTGGGGTCACTCATCCACCAAAAGCTGGTTCAGAAAACTTGTTGGGGAAAGGTAGTTACCTGGCTCAACCTCCACTTCCCTCTGTGTGAACATGTTGATCTGGTTTGGTGGCTATGCACTTAGGTATACACCTGCCTGGCCACAGGATGGGCCCCTGGCCACCTGTGAGTGTTTGCACTCTCTTGGCAATCATCTCCTTGCCAAGGTAATGCAACATTAAATAGCAAAAAACATCATGGCAGGCTAAGAGGGAAACTGTGACAGAAAGAAAAAATGTCTTATATTTTGATACCCTTAAGAAAAAATTATTCATGTTGTTCGAATAAGAGTACTACATTTTTATTTTTCACTGGGTCCTCCAAATCATTTATCTGGCCCTTAATGAAAAGGACTCTTTTAAAAATCACTGTGTTTCACACTTTGTCAAGCCCAGTGGTAAATCACCTTCTGTCTTCTAACTCAGCCTCACAGCAGGATTTGTCATAGTTGACCACTCCCACATTCTTGAATTCTTTCCTCCTTTAGATTTCCTCCTGTTTGTGGTCTCTCTGATGTCACCTCTTCTGCATGAACTGCTTAATACTGTTTTGACCTAAGCTTAAGATTCAAGCTTCCTTTTCATTATTATTATTTTTTTCCTATTGACACCAATTTTCCAAATTGATCTCACCAAGTCTCATACTGTCAAATACCATCTGTATGCGGATTGATTCTCCAATTTATATTCAAATTCCACCAAGCTTCCATCAAGCTGTTGACTTGACCTTTCTACATGGATGTCTAATTGGTATCTCAAACTTCCTACATCCAAAACACATCCCCACTCTCATTCTCAGAGCTTCCATTTTTTACTTAATGTTATTTATACATTTGTACAGACCCGAAATGTGTCAATCATGCTTAATTCCTCTCTTTCCTTCTTAATCTATATCTGATTTATCAGCAAGTTCTATTAACTCGCCATACAACTTATAGAAAATGTGATGATTTTTCCTCTTTTCTATTACTGCCATCTTAGTCAACACTCAACTGGGCGATTTAATCCTACCTGGTTTCCTGGTTTTCAGAGGAACCTCTTCTAAATATAATTTCCACATGAGAACCAGTTAAATATGTAAATGTCAACTTTTTAAAAAGTCTTGAAATAACTTCCACAGAAAATTTGAATAAAATCCAAATTCCTTACCGCAGACTAATGGTCCTCTATAGCCCTATAATCTACCCTTGCTTCTCTCTCTGGACTACAAATAGTTTGTTCAGCATTTGCTGGAAATACCATCATTTCCTGTTTTCCTCAAACATGTCAAACATTTTTCTATTGAGAATAATTGTGATTGTTTCTCTCTACCTGGAATTCTCTTCCCAGATTGTTTCCTGCTTGACTGCTTTTCATCATTCAGGTCTCAATTTCAATATCATCTCCTCAAAAATGCAAGCCTGCCTTAAGGGACTTATTTCAACCTGACCCTCAGTCACTTACTATCTCATTATGTGGTTTTAATTCCTTATAGCACTCATCAAGGATTTTTTTTTAATTGGCTCAGCATGGTAGCTCATGACTGTATTCCCAGCACTTTGGGAGGCCGAGGTGGGCAGATCCTTGAGCCAGGAGTTCCAGACTGGCCTGGCTGACATGGGGAAACCCATCTCTACCAAAAATAAAAAAAAATAAAAAAATAAAAAGACAAATTGCCAGGCATGGAAGCACATGCCTGTAGTCCCAGCTACTCAGGAGGCTGAGGCAGGAGAATCACTTGAACCCAGAAGGCGGATGTTCCAGTGAGCAGAGATTGCGCCAGTGCACTCCAGCCTGGGTGACAGAGCGAGACCCTGTCTCAAAGAAACAAACAAAAAAAACTTGTTTTCTGTCTTTCCAGCTGGAAGGATTAACAACAAAAGGACACGTGGTTTTCTCATCCATTTCTATATCACCAAGAACTACAACACGGTGCCCCCAACATAATAATTACTCAGTATATGTTTCTCAATAGCATTAAATACATTAATTATAGATAAAAGTTAAAATGGCTAGTCAGTGTTAGATCTATATGATAGCAACATATACTCAACTATTTTTTTTTAAAGCATCATTTCTGGATAAGTGTATTGTTCATGGTAAAATAGTAAAACGGAAGGAAAAAGAGAAACTATTGCAGAGAACTGTGTATACTGTAGTATTTTTAGGTTAAAATAATGAAAATATATCAATATAAATAAAATTGAACAAATCAATTTGTTACTTGATCACTTGAAAAATTCGGAATATATTTTCACCAAGATTAGTAGCCATTTTAGGGGTTATCTCAGACTTGTCTGTTATTCTGTCCTAAATTTAATGACATACTCTTATACCTAGCATCCACTAATACTTTTTTTGTTTCATGTATTCTATAATAATCCTATTAGGATATTTCTCAAGTTGACTGTTATAGGTCTATTTTCTCTTGTACATGGTGTGTACTGCCAAAATGTAGATGTAGGTCCTGTTTTTCCCAATATTTTTAGTATCATTTAAATTATTAACCTCATACTATTTTTTATCCTTAAGAACTCATTTATATACATGGTAGCTTGTCTTTGGCTATCTATAGTTTGAAATTCATTCTGATGTATTTTAACTGTTTCATTTCCTTTTTACTTTCATAACTTCTGTAATGTTCATACTCTATATTATTTAACATCTCTACGATCAAATCTATTCCCCCTGTAATATAACTTTTACTTTGGTTCCACTTTTACCTTTTTCTTTAATTTTTGACTTAAATCCTTTTAGTCATATTGTTTGGTCTTCTCTTTTCTCACTGCTCATGTGTTGTGATGTTCTTTTACATCTGGAAGTGTTTTTATTCTGACATTTTTTTTTCCCTACCAAAATTGTTTGATTCCTATTTTTAAACTTTTTTCTTTGTAGTAACTTATTGGAGATTTTACATTGTTGGTTTTGTAGTTAATTTTGTTCATGTGTAAATTGGCTGGACTTTTTGGCTAAGATACTAGTAAAAAGTTCATTTAGAGAATGGAAATTAACTTTGTTTTTCCAGGTTTCTCAGCTTGAAGTTGCTTTCTTCTTTGGCTACAGAGAAGATTATTATTATATTTGAAGTTTATGTAATATCATTTTATTAAGTTTTAGTCAACCCCTTACCAAAAGTCATTATAATTTACAGATTTGAATTCACTTTGGAATGTTTTAATTATTCACCTCTTTTGTCCACATTTTTCTATTTTCTTTAATATAAAATATGGCTATTTCAAAATCCTTGGCTGCTAACTCTATATTGTTGCTATTTTTTTGCTTATCAATAACAATATCTCACATATATACATATATATAGTATTATTTTGAATGTGGGTGCACATTGTACAACTGTATATACTATATATATAGTTGTGTATATATATATACATATATATGGTAATATTTTGAATGTGGGTGCATTTTGTACAACTGTGTCTTGGCATATTGGGTAATGTAGAGTAGCCAGATGATCCCTTTCACAAGAGAGTTTTCCCATTTTCTTCTGTTAAGCAGATAAGAGACTGATCACTTCGATCTAATTTGTATACGAGCTTGGCTGGTGTTTGTTTACACCTTAAAAATATATATTTCCATCTCTCCCCTGTTTCTTGGACTTGGATTTCTTTATCAAACCTTATAAGTCTTTGTCTTTTGACTCTGACGTACTGAAAGAGATTCGTTTAAGACTTCTGAAGCTTTCAAGCTCAGTTATTTAGCCTCCCTCCTCAGACAGAATCCAAATTGGCCAACATTTTAGGGGGTTGAACAGCTTTGTATTTGTCAGGCCCCTCCCTCTAGTAGGATTTTGTATGTTTGATAGTGAATAACTGCAGATTTCTCTTTGCCTTTTAAAAGATTCTTGCAGAGGTCAGTAGGCTCCTGCATAACTCCATACCTCAATTTGGGCCTGCTTACCACAACCATTTGTACAGTTGTGTAGCCTTTATCTCCTAAGTGGCCAAATAGCCTTATGTAATAGCCCCTTAAAACATCGGTAGTTTCTGTCCCCCAGCAGACCCTCTGTTTGAGACAAGCATTATTCTTAGGTCATATCCAGCACTGGCCAGTGCCCCCATTGATGAAAATGGCTGGCAAGAGTCCATTAGCCTCAGAAGGGTTATTACCTCCTTGGAATTCAGCTTTCCTAGTTCTTGTTATGCATTTCCAGTCTTCTTTTCTAGATCCTTCTTCTGTATCTGAACTCTAAATATGGGCTTGGTCTAAATCAGGAACTGAGCCATTTTTCCTCTTGGCTTCCACAGCTTGGAGGTATCTTTAAATGTATACAGTTGATCCTTAAACAACACAGGTTTGACCTGCAAGGCTCCACTTGGATGCAGATTTTGGATGCAGATTTTCTTCCCACCTCTGCTTCTCCTGAGATAACAACACCAACCCCTCTTCTTCCTCGTCCCCGAGTCTACTCAACATAAAGATGACAAGGATGAAGGCCTTCAATAATGATACACTTCCAGCTAATGAATAATATATATATGTTCTCTTTCTCATGATTTTCTTAATAATATTTTCCTTTGTCTACCTTACTTTATTGTGAGAATAGAATACATAGTGCATGTAACATTCAAAATATATGTTAATTGACTATTTGTCGTTGGTTAGGCTTCCAGGCAAAAATGGGCTACCAATAGTTAAGTTTCTGCGGAGTCAAAAAGTATATGCAGATTTTTTAACTGTGCAGGGTGTCACAGCCCCTAACTCTGCTTTGTTCAAAGGTCATGTATGTGAGTATGTACATCTCTTTGTGCATACATCTGTATATGTATGTGTGTGTATGTGCGTATGTATATATGTATATTAACATAAAATTATTATGTTTATATACATACAACATTATGGTTATATACATGTATACATATATACACACATATACATATCATTTTATGTTTATATATACATAATAATAACATAATAAACATAATAACATATTTATCTAGATGTTGCAACTGTACTATTGCGTTGCCTTGATCCACAAAAATTCTATACAGAAACAGAATTTTTTTTCTTCTTAACCACTGAATATATTTCAGGTTTTCTATCTCTTTACAATTTTCTGCTAAATACTGGGCAGTTTCTTTACATCTGCATCATATTCATAAAGTGTAACTGTTTCTATCACTTATACAATTTATTTTTATCATAATTATATGGAATATTTTATTTGGTTATTTTTTTCTTGCTTTTATATAGTAACTTACTTTTCTCACTATCTATATATTATTTGATTAATTGCTTATTTTAGCCACAACTGTTTTGTAGAGTCTTCTGGTTTTCAGTGGCATCAACTTGTTTCCTTAAGAAATGCAATAATGGGCCGGGTGTGGTGGCTCACGCCTATAATCCCAGCACTTTGGGAGGCCAAGGCGGGCGGATCACGAGGTCAGGAGATCGAGACCATCCTGGCTAACACGGTGAAAGCCCGTCTCTACTAAAAATACAGAAAATTAGCCAGGCATGGTGGCACGCACCTGTAGTCCCAGCTACACAGGAGGCTGAGGCAGGAGAATGGCATGAACCCGGGAGGCAGAGCTTGCAGTGAGCCGAGATCCCGCCACTGCACTCCAGCCTGGGCGACAGAGCAAGACTCCATCTTAAAAAAAAAAAAAATGCAATAATGATAACCTAAGGTTATTTGGCATGATCTCTTGAAAACTGAGTGTCAACATAGGAAGATGAGTGCACTCTTCTACTTTCCCCCTAAAACTCATGGTTGAACAAGTAGCTAACAAACAGCACATGTCCACCAGTAAATGTGTGAAGGAAGACCAAATTTATTCAGCCATCATTAACAGGGACAAGGATTATATTATTAGAGATAAGGAATTTATTTATTTTTAACTTTTATTTTAAGTTCAGGGGTACATATGTAGGTTTGTTACATAGGTAAACCTGTGTCATGGGAATTCATTTTACAGATTATTTCATCACCCGGGTATTAAGCCTAGTACCCATTGGTTATTTTTCCTGACCCTCTCCCTCCTCCCACCCTCCATGCTCCAAAAGGCCCCAGTATGTGTTGTTCCTCTCTATGTGCTCATGTATTCTCATCATTTAGCTCCCACGTATAATTGAGAATATGTGGTATTTGGTGTTCTATCCCTGTGGTAGTTTGCTAAGCATCAGGGCCTCCAGGTCCATCCATGTCCCTGCAAAGGACAAAAATCTCATTTGTTTTTATGGCTGCATAGTATTCCATGGTGTACATACACCGCATTTTCTTTATCCAGTCTATCACTGATGGGCATTCAGGTCTTTGTTATTTATTAGATCCATGTCTTTGCTATGCATATGTCTTTAAAATAGAATTATTTTAGACACACCATGCATGTGTCTTTAAAACAGAATCATTTATATTTTTGTTGGTATATACCTAGTAATGGAATTCTAGACTAATGATATTTCTGACTTTAGGTCTTTGAGCAATCACCACCCTAAATTTATTAAATTAACATTCAATTTAATAAATGTCTATTTTTTCAAAACTTTCAAATATCTAAAATGGCTAAACCTCATAGACAAAAGTAATTACATGTAGGTTTTGGAAATGACATAGACATTGTTCAATACTATATAACATTGAACTTATTTTAAAATGATCACTGGAGAGACTTTTTTTTTTCTTATTACAGAAACGTTCAGTCAGAATCATGTGTCAGTTAAGATAACAAATCAGAAATGTACAAAGCAAACAGATTTTATTCATATTATGAAAGTTAATTGAGCACACAATTATGTCAGCAATAACGTTTTGATTAAATTACTACTCATGAATTTGCCAAGTCATTATGAATCATTAAACCCTCAATCACTTTTGCAAATCTGTTGCTACTACCATCTTTTTATTTTTATTTTCTAATTTTTGTCTTGGTTGTAATTTTAGGGATGTGTATATAAATATACTACTCATAGCAAGACAAGAAGTGAAGTAGTATGTATAAAAGCAATATGTAATTAAATCCCAATTAGATCATTTGTTTATTTTACAAATAACAGACAGACCTAATATTTTAAGCAATAAAACATTTTGGTCAAATGAATAAAACATGCTTGGAAATACTTTTATCATCTTGATCACTTGCCTTTAGCTACAGCATTGCAATGATTAAAAAGACAACCATTTTGCTGAATGACTTAAAAACTCACTGTTGATAAATCAGTTAAATTTGAAAGCATCTAAGGCCATAGTGTACAAGTTATTTTACCACTCTTTTCAAAGAACTATTTAAATATTTCTAGAATTAAGACATAAAATTGGTACAACAAAATGAGCACTATTTTGCAAACCAATAACATGTTGAATTTTAAATTGGTTGTTGCTGCTGTGGGATGCAGAATCCATTCAGAAACTCAAGTGTGTCCATTGCCATTTATGCAGTTTGACAATTTGAGAAAAGATAATGAGGTTAATATAAAAAATACTGGCTATCTACAAATTCCTGCCATCCATTTTTATTTTATCCAGTATATTTTTTTCAACACCCTACATACTGGGTAATTAATTATACATATTCCATCACAATTTGAGCCCATTGGTGACCCCAGCAGCCAGTAGACCCTTTTCTGAAATCAAAAGTGTAAATGCATGCAAATGTGGTGTATGTGACAATTGAAAGTGCCTAGCAATGACCTCATAAAGAATGACTCTTTTAGAGTTGCTATTTATAACTTATAAATAGTAAAAAAAAAAAAAAAAAAAAAAAAAAAAAAAGACATTCTGAGCATAAATATCTGCAGTAGACAGTTTTGATTGGGTGCATCAGATGAGATTCTTTCATTTTGCCTCTTTGAATGATTACTAACACAGTATTGCCCTCTGCAACCACAGTTCCTGAAGTAAATTAAGTCCTGCCAGTTAGAAGCAGCCTTGAGACATTTGAAATCATCTTCCTCTATGGCTGCTATCCATTCTTGAAGAGACAAAGGTTTCCTGTGGCAGCATTCTTATGTCATGTCCATTCTCCTGTTTTTTTGTATCAAAAGGCAGCTGCAATAGTTCCAGCATTTTATATTGAACGGAACAACGGAAATCAAATAAATTTTGTTAATTAAATCATTTAAATGTGAAAATGAGCAAGCTACAAATGTCTAAAAATATTCTATCACATCCAACTAGGTGATCAAAGCAATCTATTCAATCCAGTTGGAATATGCATTGGAAAATATCAGAGCTAATTCATTGCTATCTGACATAAAAAAAAGAATTCCAGTCTAAAATTAAAAAGGCCTTCCTGAAATGAGAAAATATATGACACCTACAGAAACATGGTCTGAGTTACTGCAGAGAAAAGTTGCAAGCATTATCAAGATAATAATGATAATGCCTGTACTATGAAATATTAAGTTTATATAGTAAAGAAGAGGCCATAAAATAATTAGATTTAGGAAGTCAAATATAAAATAAAGTCTCTGGAAATAACAGTAAACAAAGAAAAGGTGGATTTTATGGCACGCCCCCAGCCATGCCTATAAGTCATCTCTCAGGACAGAAACAATCCGTCTTCAAAACGCTCCCCTAATGGAGGAGTGACAGTGTTTCCCTGCGCTCACCAGTCAGAAAAAAAATGTACATGTTCAGAGCCATTACAAAGTGGACAGTCCATTGACAAGTGATCCTGTAGCACATAACCTAGAGATGGCAGTAGTACCTAAACAAAATTATCAATGATCTCAAGTAGAACAAAGAGTTTAAATGCAAGACAGATCTATAAGAATAGAAGTCCACTGGAATAATAATTCTCACTGCTTTGAAAGAAGATAGATTTTGTCAGGACATAGGCATGGGCAAAGACTTTGTGACTAAAACACCAAAAGCAATGGAAACAAAAGCCAAAATAGACAAATGGGATCTAATTAAACCAAAGAGCTTCTGCACAGCAAAAGAAACTACCATCAGAGTGAACAGGCAACCTACAGAATGGGAGAAAATCTTTGCAATCTACCCATCTGACAAAGGGCTAATATCCAGATTCTACAAACAACTTAAACAAATTTACAAGAAAATAACAAACAACCCCATCAAAAAGTGGGCGAAGGATATGTACAGACACTTCTGAAAAGAAGACATTTATGCAGCCAACAGACATATGAAAAAATGCTCATGATCACTGGTCATTAGAGAAATGCAAATCAAAACCACAATGAGATACCATCTCATGCCAGTTAGAATGGCAATCATTAAAAAGTCAGGAAACAACAGATGCTGGAGAAGATGTGGAGAAATAGGAATGCCTTTACACTGTTGGTGGGACTGTAAACTAGTTCAACCATTGTGGAAGACAGTGTGGCAATTCCTCAAGGATCTAGAACTAGAAATACCATTTGACCCAGTGATTCCATTATCCAGTATATACCCAAAGGATTATAAATCATGCTACTATAAAGACACATGCACACGTATGTTTATTATGGCACCATTCATGATAGTGAAGACTTGGAACCAACCCTAATGTCCATCAATGATAGACTGAATTAAGAAAATGTGGCACATATACACCATAGAATACTATGCAGCCATAAAAAAGGATGAATTCCTATCTTTTGCAGGGACATGGATGAAGCTGGAAACCATCATTCTCAGCAAACTATTGCAAGGACAAAAAACCAAACACCGCATGTTCTCACTCATAGGTGGGAGTGGAACAGCAAGAACACATGGACACACGGCAGGGAACAGCACACACCAGGGCCTGTCGGGATGTTGAGGGCTGGGGGAGGGATAGCATTAGGACAAATACCTAATGTAAATGACGAGTTGATGGCTGCAGCAAACAAACATGGCACATGTATATCTATGTAACAAACCTGCAAGTTGTGTACATGTACCCCAGAACTTAAAGTATAATAAAAAAATAGGCCAGGTATGGTGGCTCACGCCTGTAATCCCAGCACTTTGGGAGGCCGAGGCTGGTGGATCACGAGGTCAAGAGATCGAGACCATCCTGGCCAACATGGTGAAACCCCGTCTCTACTAAAAAAAAAAAAAAATACAAAAAATACAAAAAATTAGCCTGGCGTGGTAGCGGGCACCTGTAGTCCCAGCTACTCGGGAGGCTGAGGCAGGAGAATGGCATGAACCCGGGAGGCAGAGCTTGCAGTGAGCCGAGATCGCACCACTACCACTACACTCCAGCCTGGGCGACAGAGCGAGACTCCATCTCAAAATAAATAAATAAATAAATAAGTAAAAATAAAAATAAAAAAAGCAAGAAGATAGGTTTTGTTCAGCTAGCCAAGCCTCTAACTGTAGCAGGGAGAGAGCTACGTGATATCTTCCATCAGGTCATTGACAAACAGCGGATAGCTGTACTGACCCTTGGTGTGCTAGATGATCTTGAAATTCTGCCATATATATGATTATCCATTCAAATCATGACTGATTACCAGGATGTCAGTAAAACTGACTGAGCAACAATATACCAACGATTTGGTTTCAATATGATTGTGATAGTAGCATGTGTTTTTCCCACTTAACTGTTAGATTATGTATTACAGTTGCTGACCAAAAGAACATGTAAAAGAAAAACTTTAATGAGTATTCTCAAATTAATTTAATTAATTTAAATTAATTTAAATTGGGGCTGATACCAGAAATCTGGCAACTTGATAGACCTTAGATAAGAAATGTTGGAAGATAGATAGGTTGATCTATGTATACATTGTAGAAAGAGTCAATCAAGCTAATTAACATACTCATCACTTCACAAATACTATTTTTAGTGCTATAAGAATGTTAAAACCTATTATTTTAGCACTTTAGAAATTTACAACACATTATTTTTAACTGTGGTCATGATGTAGTGTAATGTATCAGTGAAGCAACATTTCTCCACTCTGAGACTTTGTACTATTTAATCAACATTTTCCGTGTTCGCTTCCCTCTGCCTTTCTCTCAGCCTCCGGTAATCACATTTCTACTTTGTGTTTCTAGGAAGTCAAGTTTTTTTTAGATTCCACATATAAGTGAGACTGTACAGTATTCATCTTCCAGTTATTTCAATTAGAACAATGTCCTCCAGTTTCATTCATGTTGTCAGGAATGATGGAATTTCCTTTTTTTTTTTTTTGAGGCTGCATACTACACTGTTGGTGGGGCTGTAAATTAGTACAGCCATTTTGGCAAATAATATGAAGTTCCTCAATAAACTAAAAATAAAATAGCTATATTATTCAGCATCCTCACTCCTGGGTATATATCCCCAAAATCAAAATCTGTATGTCAAAGAGATATCTACACTCCCATGTTCATTGTGGCATTATTCACAATAGCCAAGATATGGAAGCAAACTAAGTGTTCATCAACAAATGAATAGATAAAGAAGATGTGGTGTGAATACCCAGAAAACTTCTCATATCACTACTCTGACAACATTGGCTATGTGACCATCAATAACAGAAAGGGAGGCTAGGAAAGAAATAATCTGGCTTTGACAATTTTCATGATGAGAATAGGCAAGTGTAGTTAAGTGAGAGTATCTGCCACAATGATCCTCTATTATGTTTATGAAAATAAAATTTGAAATACTTCAGACTATTAAGACATACAAAATTAATCTAACGCATTGCATTAATGCACCCTCAGGTAATAAACTTTAATAAAAAACAGAATATTACTGATGTATGTGTGCACTCCAAGCACCATCTCTCTAGATTCACTCCCCTTCCTCCCCATCACAGGTAAACACTCACTTGAATTGGGTGTTTATTATTCCATTTCACTTGTTTTTATTTTTATTTAATACACTGCACATACAAACACACACAGTGCGTATCCGTATACTGTGTATGTTAAAATTCAAACAAACGTATATCTATATATCAAGAAAAAATAACAGTAAGATAAATTTACTAGACACCAGTTGGGCAAATGCTATAGAATCTGATAATACCAGTGGTTGATTAATCTATGCAGAAACAAAAACACATGCGTCTGTTGGGGGTATAAATGATAAATTTATTTTGGAGAAAATTTGACACTATAAATTAATTGAAGATATACATAAATCGAATCTTGCAATTCCAGTTCTGGTAGAGGCACTAGAAAAATTTCCCATATGAGCAACAGGAGGAAGAACAGTAATAATCCTCACAGTATTGCTTATTATAGAACCATTTGGAAACAGTTTTCATTTTTTCAGATGAACAATGAATAAATAATAATGGATAAAAACTCATACACAAATGCAGATAGCTCTATTTTGTTCATTTTAATTGCTTTGAATGTGTATGAATCTCACAAATATAGTATTGAACAAAATGCAATCATACAGAATTTAATATAATATCCCTTATAAAGTTTAAATACATCAAAGTGCTATTGTGTATCACTTTCATAGCATACAAGTATAAAAGAGGAGACATCATCTAAAGTCCATTAAGAGAGCTGTGATTGCGAAGAAGTGACTGAAAATCATCATTTTTTTTCCTAGAACAGATACTGTAGTTAGGAATAGCATAAAAGAGATCAGGAGAGGAAAATTATCCCCAGACAGTCACGTATCATTTATTCTAATAATCTGCCACACTCACATATGGATGGGTTGATATGAGCATGTTACATCTTCTAATGGGGGCTATAAATCAGCAAGGAGTGAACACACACGTGCACACACACAAACACACCCATATTAATTTACTGATTTTTGTAGTCAACATTATCAAAAATAGTGATGAGCCCTATGAACAGGAGGAGATGCAGCATATTTGATGGGTAATAATTTAAGTATAAATTAAATACCTAAAATTTTATTGTATTTTTATGCAAATTACTTTGGTCCTTATTTCAATTATCTATTACTTGGAGAAAAAAACAGTCCAAATATTGAAGTTCAAAATAAATATGTATTGAAATACTTTACTTTTGGAGCAATTTATGCTTATAGCACAACTGAGCAGAAAGTACAGAGTTCCCATATACCTTCTGCAACCACCCATGTACAGCCTCCCCCATTATCAGCATCCCCCACCAGAGTGGTACAGTTGATACAATGATGAACACATCATTATTTCCCAAAGTCAATAGTTCACCTTAAGGTTCACTCTTGGTGTTGCACATACTATGAGTTTGGACAATTCTATAATAGCATGTATCCACCATTGTGGTATCATGCAGAGTAACTGCACTGCCCTAAAAATCCTCTGTGCTCTGCCCGTTCATCCCTCCCTCCCTCTTAACCTCTGGGAACCACAGACCTTCTTACTCTCTCGGTAGTTTCACCTTTTTCAGAACAGCATATTCAGTAGTTGGAATCATACAGCATGTGGGCTTTTCAGACTGGTTTCTTTCACTTAGTAATATTGCACCTCAGCTACCTCTATGTCTTCTCAAACTTTATAACTCATTTCTTTTTAGCACTGAATAGTATTTCATTGTCTGGATATACCAAAGTTTATTTATCCATCCACCTACTAAGGAAATTCTGATTGCTAACTATTTTTTATGATTCTTTGGTTTGATCTGATATTCTTCTGTTTTGCTTGCTGGTGGGTAGGCTGGCATTATGGCTGGCATGCCTGACAGTGTGGCACAGGCTGCCCATCAGGAACTCAGTTCTGACTGAGGGACAGTTTCCTCAGGGTTTCTTTAGGTAAATCCCTTCATGTGGCTGCATGTACTTCCTCACTGGCTGATTTTAAAGACCCCTTCTGAGTTCTAAATATGAATTTTTGAATCTTTAAATGGCCATACTATTATTGCTTTAGAAATGTCCATAATGCTGCACCCTAGAACCTCTATATTATACTGTGAGGCAGGTCTTTCTCTACATTTGCCTGAGAGTTAGTAGCTGTGGATTAAAGTTATTACAATTTATAGAGGTTTATTGTCTCTCTGAATGACTCAATGAAGTGTATCCTTATGAACTTTAGCACACAGGTTCTAGGAGGTATGGCCATTAATATTTCAGAATTTGTTATAAAGAGTCAAATAGCCACACACTTGACTTCATCTTGATCCTAAGCATTTTTTTAACTGGCAGCACCCTAGATTTCATTTCTTCCTTAAGGCGGCCAGATAAAAAGCCTGGTAACAAGAAACAGTTTTATTTTTCAACCATACAAGTCATGTTGGAGAAATTTCCAGAAGATTCACCTGAAAACCAAACAGTTCCTTTTTTAGGTCATTCTTCTTTACACGTGTTTAATTACAGACAGTGAACATAAGCCAAATGGCAACTTTCTGCCTGGAAACACATTTAGATCCAAGGTCCATTTGGAACTTTTTCAATCTTTTTTTTTTCATGGTAGTAAATAACATTATTTATATTTTATCAAGCCTCCAATACATACTCCCGCATTCCCTTTCCAGCCTTCTCTCTGCCATTCAGGTCTCTCAGATCCAAACTCAATGTCTTTTGCTGTTTGGTTGTCTGTTTGTTTTAATTTTCGTTGCAGCAGCATACTACACCCAAATGCAAATTTCTGGTTCAGTTATCAACTATATAACAATGCCCCCTGCCAGCTTATCTATTTAAAGCAAGAATAATTCATGGAATTTCACGATTCTGTGGGAAGCTTGGGTGGCTTTCCTCCTTCATTTGGTGTTAGCTGGGATACATAGATGCCTGGAAGGTCCCAAATGGCCTTAGTAAGAGGACTGAAGTTTTGAGTGCAAATCCATCTGTGGGGAGGATGTCTTGGTTGTCCTTAATGTGGGTCTCTCCATGTGGCTGCTTCTGCTTCTTCACAGCATGGTGGCTATTTTTAGGAATTAGGACCATGCAGTGAAGACAACCTGTAGATCTCTCAAGACACACTGTCTGAAATTAGAGAGTGTAAATTATGCTATTTTACTTATTCAACAAGTCTAAGGGTAATCCCAAATTTGAGGGGAGAGGAAATAGATATCACTTTTCAATAGAAAGAGTGGAAAAGGAGTTTCACCAATTTTAATTAACCACAGAATAATCAGTCTGCAAAGTTCGGAACCTTCTAGACCTAAGAAAACAAACATAAAACCTTAATTGACTTACAAAATTTATCTTAATTCAGGTTTAATTTACATTGATAAATCTGAAATTGTTATATAAGGCCACTTTTACCGATATTGCCTGTCCTGGTTTTGTAACCAAATTCAGTTTTCCTATTTTCACCAACAGTGAAATGGCAGCATCAGTGCCCTGATGTTCCCAAGAAGTGCGTTCTTTCCTGAAGCCATCTGTAATCCTAGATTCCATTTTCACCACACTCTAAAGAAAAAGTGCAATTTTTTATTTGAATTTATATTTTTTGCATATTACCTTTTTTCATCCCTGGTCATATATGAGAAAATATTCACAGTCTTAATGTTCTCCATTGGTGTATTTATTGTTGGCAAAAATATGAAAGAATAAAGCATTTTGAATCACACTATGAATGTATCCAAATCCACATAGCTAATATTTCACAAAGAAAAGTTGTACCTCATATTTTGTCCAAAGAAACAAAATGTGCACCAATGTAGTCTCCACACAGAAATAGGAACTTGTCCTCCAGGCTGCCTTCTCTTATCAGAAGAGTCTCCTTCCATTGCTTCATCAATAACAAAGTGCTTAGAAGAAGAGACTTTTGGCTCTTTGACTTATTTGCTTCTAAATTCCATTTGAGTAATGAAGAAGCTAATTATTTTTGCTGAACTCTTTCTCTTTTCTTGAGATTATACTTTCAGTAATAAAAATACACACTTTGTGCGTGTTCATATGTCAATTACCAGACACCCTAATGGTTACATTTGTGTTTTATAATATATGCCATTCAAAGACAAATTTTTCACTTGTTCTCTTTAGCTCAGTTCTAAAAGAAATATATCAGGAAAACTGTTTAGAAAATTCTTTTTGTACTATGGAATGAATATACCTTTTACCACTAATAGTAAACAATGATGACTACTAAAATTAGAGTGGAGGTAGCAAATTATGCTTTATGGTTTTTCTAGTGTAGGAGAGATTAGCTGTTAAGAAAAAACATGAGAAAAAACTAAAAGTAGGAAAAGTTATCAAAGCCACAAATTGATGGAAAACAGAGATTGGAATAGCTAAAAGACAAGGCATAGTATGCCAATTTCTCTTAATCTGCATATCTATTTAGGACACAATTAGGCTATGCATGCTAAGAGACCAAAAGCTCCACCAACTTTTAGACTGTCAGCTTCTATATGTCCGCTTAATTCACAGAAATATCCTATACATCCAGTACAGTATCCAAAACACAGTAGGCACTTGATAATTATTTTTAATTTGCTAATTAGGGATTATACCCAGTCTTGCAATCTATAGTGTCTCATATGGTGCCTAGACCACAGATCAATTACTGTCATATTTCATAGTCTAAAGGATTTAGAACCAGGTTATATCAGTTTAGATAACTACCATTACCCTAACGTTTCAAAGTTTTCAACTTTGACCACATCATTGTCCAATCAATAGAAATAATTCCTTGGGTCAGATTCTCATCCCCTGCAACTATCATCCCTGTAAGCAAGAACAATGCCTTCATTTTTTCATATGCCTTGTGCCCTGAGTGAGGAGTTTTATGCTAAGACAAGCTGTATTATAACCATTACGTGGACAATATTGCATTGGCTCTTGCCAATACACAAAATATCTAAATCCAGATGCATTTGCATGGGAGATATTTTTATACCAAACAAGATTGTTTTGTCAATCTTAAAAGTACCTGTAAAGACACAAACTTGAATCTTAAATCAATCAGATCAAAATTTCTTTAAAGAATTATCTGCTCAACAAATTGGTTAATCAGAGAACTGCTTTGTAAGATTCTTCTTGAGAATGTCAGGAGCAGTTATTGTATCTAATGAACTTAATTACAATAACTGCGTGAGTCATAACTGAATTTGGGGTGACAAAAATGTCTGGTCATTAAAGATACAGTGATATAATTGTTTTTCACATTAGAGAAGGGCAAAATATTACTGTTAAGTAAATATCTTCTTCTTAGTTTCATATTTATTTTCCATTTGAATCAAATGTTTGTTACCTCTTTTACTTAATAAATTTTGAAAGGAGTTCTAGAGGTGAAAGATTTTTCTATATATAAATGTACAATAAGTATCTTCTTGTTTTTAATTTCTTTAAAAATTTTTTTTAGAAATAGGGTCTTGCTCTCTCACCCAGGCTGGGGTGCGGTGGCCCAATCATAGCTCACTGTAGTCTCAAAGTATGTCTGCTTAATTCACAGAAATCACTTGAGCCCCAGAAAAAAATATGGTGTTCCGAGTGAGGAGGCTCAAGAGATCCTTCCACTCAGCCTAAGTAGCTAGGACTTCAGGCATGCACCACCGTGCCAACAATATTTATTTTTTGTAGAGACAGGGTCTTACTTTGTTGCATAGGCTGGTCTCATACTCCTCTCTTCTAGCCATCCTCCCTCCTCAGCCTCCTAAAGGGCTGGGATTATAGGCGAGAGGCTCTGTATCCACTAGGATCTCCTTAATTGGAATTTCTTCACAAAGGCAAATTCAGGTTATTTAATACAACTTTTTTCTTTATTAAAATTTTGGATTATAAAGTGTGCAAAATTCTAATCTCCCTTATCTCCACCTGTATTCATTACACAAAACTACTGATTTTTTTCCCACATGTTAGTCGAGTAAATTAGAAACCGTATTTCTTTATCATTTATAAAAAAATATGGTTTGATACCATGATTTTTCAAAAGATTTATACGGGCGACTTTAAAAAATATAGAACATATTGCTGTATTCCAAAGGTTGGCAAACTGTTGTCTGTGGACTAAATCTGCACCATCCTACTCTCACTTCTGCTTGGTTTTGTATGGTCTTTGAGCTAAAAATACACTTTGTTTTTTCAATTTAAATGGTTACATTTAAAACATGGTTAAATAAGTATGTACATAAAAATCTAAAATTTGTTCTCTAGGCCTGTAAATTCTATAGTATTACTATCTTGCCCTTTTTAGATAAATTATGTCGACATTTGTTCTATAAATGCCTTATATATTATTGACCGAGTTATTAAGGATATCAACATATCTAACCTGAAATTCTTCTTTTTCTAAAAATAGAGAGTTTCACCACCCAATTTTTCAATAATCACAGAGCTAGCCTTTCATCTCACTTTGAAATTTGCTATAGCATAGCAAGAAATTTTATATCAGTGTAATAACAATAACAGCATATTAAGTTAATAAAGCAATTTCATACATATTCTAATATCATTACTGAAAAAAAACCATGCGTTAAACAGAACTATCTCTATAAACCAATTTTACAGGTGGAAAGAAAATTAGTCTCAAAGAGGTTAGATAATTGGCCCAGGGTTGTAAGTCTTGTAATTATTAGCACTTTTCCTGCCACACAGATATTCTCTTTACATGACTTCATGATGCCTACTGAAATTAAACTGAAATCTTAGTTCACTTGTACAAGAAAAGTAATCATAAGTTAGTTATGCATATAATACTGAAAGTCAAAAGATAATGAATATAATATAATTACCAGTGTTTTGTTGCAATTAATGAATAAATCACAACAATCAGGTCACCTGGTAGACAACCTAGTAAAATGAACAAAGAGTTAGCTACATAACATGTGCTATAGAGGATAAAGTTGATAAAGGGATTAATTAAGCAACCAATCTAAAAGTACTGATCTCAACTTTACAAATGAGAACAAAGCCCTTAAACCAGCCACTTATTTTCATTAAATCTTTGACAAAGTTTAACAGTATAATTTTTGCAACTACCTATCCATTTATTAGTGACTTCTATGTTAAATTTCAATTTCATTAAGAAATTCCAAGTCAAATTAACAATTGGTTTGTATTTCAATAATAAGTAATTGCCTTACATGATACCAATGTTGTTATCACAATTACATATCCACAAATTTAGAACATTTACTTTTAATTTCCTAGGGAAATTAGTCATAAAAAAAGACATCATGTGGGACAGAAAATGGGAGGTGAAAGCTCATCGATGTGAAAAGGAAGTATTAAAATTAAAATATAAATTAAGTTTGTATTTCAAAATGTTAAAATACATATTATATACATTTCTTTGGAATGATATTCTAAGATTGCATTGAGTCATGAACCCATGTTTAGTTTAAAAAAATAATTAAACTTTATGCTTATTTTCTACATAGAATTAAAAGCCTGTAAAGGGACTACTGTGAATTATAGATTTCTTATGTTTAAATCAGATAATTTGTCACACATTTGAATGTTTTTTCAGAAAACACAAGAATTTGGTGATAATTTCAGAACCTTGTTATCTGATTATTTCTCCAGTTGTCTTTGGAAATGAACAACTTGGTAGGAAATACAATTACTAAATCACAAACAGTTTCCTCAGTACTCAGTAAATGATATGACATTATTTTCTTCTCCTTATTATTGTGAAGTCTGGGCCAATAGAGATTTTTTTTTATTTTGCTTTAATCTCAAAAAGAAAATAAAAACTACCTTTATATCTTCATCCTCCTCCATTATTTGTTAGTATTTCCCAGTGTATTTCCCTGAAGTACTTTCCACTTATATTTCAGATACCTCTTAAGTATCTCTTTTGCTTATGACTTCTTAAAAGTTTTTCTGTTGTTAGAAAATAGACATTTATAGTTCTATGCTCTCTGTAATGTTAAATCTAATATTTTAAAAATCTTCTGTATTCTGATAGAGCATTTTAAGATTATTCTTCTCATTACTCATTATATGTTATTCATTGTCATTTCTGTTCTTCTTTCTATAAACCGTGCTTTAAAATTCTCTATCAGATTTCTAGTTTTTATGTCATCTTACTTGGTCTTATTCAGTTCAATTTCTATCTGTAAGCTTTTCATAATATATTTATTTCCTGTTTTATATTTTATTAATTTTTGGTTGAGAACAAAAAGCAGATGACTTAAAATAGGTTCCTAAGTTTATTCTTCCAAAGCACTGATGTCCTCTCAATCGCAAATGGTCTGGTAGCAATCTCATTACAAAATTCACCATCATTCCACTTTTTTTTTCATCTTTAATTATTTTGACTGTTCCCTGCTCCCAAGTATTCAGATCCATTGTTGGCCAGAAATTGTCCTAGTCCCTCTTGTCAAGGTTTCTCTGTGAACCTTTCTCTCAGTTCTTAATGTGGAAGGCAAATAATATCAAGAGCCCTGAGTCAGTTTTCTCTGCTGTTGGGCAGCCGTTACCTTATAGGATTCAGCAGGAATAAAGAAATGTTTTTCTGATTCTGCTTCTTGGTATAAAGGGTGATTTGAGGCTTCTAATTTAAAGAAGTGTGTAGTTCACCCCTTGCCGAAAGCACTGTATAAACTTTGCAACTTCTGGACTATAAGTTTTATTATATTTTTTGTATCTTTGTCCCTTGTTATTGCTGAATTCCTGAATTCACAATGCAGGTTTTCAATGTGCTACTATCTCCTCATGTCTGACTGGGAGTGTGCAGTAATTGTGGTACTTACTCCAATACCTAGTAAGGAGTAGAGTTGGAAGATTGGAGAATTATACATCACTGGCTCTCTGAGACTCTTAAATCTCATGTGAACAGCCTGGGTTTTAAACTTAAGTCTAGCCAGCCACTCTATCTCATAAAGACCTCTTCAGATTCAAAAGCCTATTCTATTATTTCATCCACAGAAAGTGAAGATCCATATTCTTTCTCTAAAAGAATCTCAGATCCTTGGATTTTATTTTTTGTTTGTTTTATGTTTGTTTGTTTATTTGTTTGTTTTGAGATGGAGTCTCACTCTGTCTCCCAGGCTGGAGTGCAGTGGCACGATCTCAGCTCACTGTAACTTCTGCCTCCTGGGTTCAAGCGATTCTCCTGCCTCAGCCTCCTGAGTAGATGGGATTACAGTCATGTACCACCATGCCCAGATAATTTTTGCATTTTTAGTAGAGACGGCATTGTGCCATCTTGGCTAGACTAGCCTCAAACTCCTGACCTACAGTGATCTGCCCACCCTGGCCTCCCCAAGTGCTGGGATTACAGGCTTGAGCCACCACGCCAGGCCTCAGAGCCTTTGTTTTAGAGGCTCAGGCTCACGGAACACAGTCACCTCCTTCTAGATTGGAATTCTTTAAAGATCAGCGTACCTTGAAAATAGCAAAAACAAAAAGAAACAAACGACAAACAAAAAAATCAGCAATGACTCTAGAATAGCCTTAAGGAGTTTAAAGACCTTGTGTATTGCTAGAGACTTAGATTATTAGTGGAAGAAATGTTCAATAAAAATTGGTTTAAGATGAAAAGAGTATATTAATTCATATAACTCACTAATCCAGAAATAGAGCTCGATTAAAGCCTAGCTTTACAGAGAAACCCAGGTATTTTTGTTAAACTTGAGATCCGTTAATATTGATGCTTGTTTCATCTTAAACTAATTGTACCTGGAGTTTCAGCAGATCTGGATCTATACTCATCCTAGTTCAAGTACAATAAAGAACATCTCTTTATATTTCCTGCAAAATTCCTAGGTTTTACTCTCATTAAACAAACTTGTGTCATTGCCCTTTTTGTGAGGATTTGAGGAATCCTGGTCTGCCAGCATTTGGTCAGAAGTTCTTCTCATGAAGCCTACAGTAGACAAATGGACAACTGAAAATATTGAATGGTTGATACTAGAACAAATTATAGGTACATTGATATAGATTCTAAACAGCCAAAATAATAAACATTCATTCTATCACAATGAGTTCATGTTAAAAGTGTAGTGACATAACATTAAAGCATGCAGACGGCTGATACTATCCACCTCACTTTTAAATTTTTTTAATTTTTGTATTTTTATACTTTAATTACTGGGGTACATGTGCAGAATGTGCAGGTTTGTTACATAGGTATACGCATGCCATGGTTGTTTGCTGCACCCATTAATCTGTCATCTACATTAGGTATTTATCCTAATGCTATCCCTCCCCTAGTCCCCCACCCCCTGATAGGCCCGGGTGTGTGACGTTCCCCTCCTTGTGTCCATGTGTTCTCATTGTTCAGCTCCCACTTATGAATGAGAACTTGTGGTGTTTGGTGTTCTATTCTTGTGTTAGTTTGCTGAGAATGATGGTTTCTAGCCTCATCCATGCCCCTGCAAAGGACATGAACTCATCCTTTTTTTATGGCTGCATAGTATTCCTTAGTGTACATGTGCCACATTTTCTTTATCCAGTCTATCATTAATGGACATTTAGGTTGGTTCCAAGTCTTTGCTATTGTGAACAGTGCTGCAATAAACATACATGTGCATGTGTCTTTATAGTAAAATGATATATAAGCCTTTGGGTATATATCCAGTAATGGGATTGCTGGGTCAAATGGTATTTTTAGTTCTAGATGCTTAAGGATTTGCCACACTGTCTTCCACCATGGTTGAACTAATATACACTCTCACCAACAGTGTAAAAGCATTCCTGTTTCTCCACATCCTCTCTAGCATCTGTTGTTTCCTGACTTTTTAGAGATCGCCTTTCTAACTGGCTTGAGATGGTTTCTTTTTGTGGTTTTGATTTGCATTTCTCTAATGACCGGTGATCATGAGCATGTCTTCATATGTCTGTTGACATCTCATATAAATGTCTTCTTTTGAGACATGTCTGTTCATATCTTTTGCCCACTTTTTGATGGGGTTGTTTGTTTTTTTCTTGTAAATTTGTTTAAGTTGTTTGTAGATTCTGGATATTAGCCCCTTGTTGGGTGGGTAGATTGCAAAAATTTTGTTTCATTCTGTAGGTTGCCTGTTCACTCTGATGATAGTTTCTTTTGCTGTGCAGAAGCTCTTTAGTTTAATTAGATTCCATTTGTCTATTTTGGCTTTTGTTGCAATTGCTTTTGGTGTTTTAGACAGGAAGTCTTAGCCTATGCCTATGTCCTGAATGGTATTGTCTAGGTTTTCTTCTAGGGATTTTATGATTTTAGGTCTTATGTTTAAGTCTTTAATCCTCTTAAGTTAATTTTTGTATAAGGTGAAAGGAGGGATCCAGTTTCAGCTTTCTGCATATGGCTAGCTAGTTTTCCCAAAACCATTTATTAAATAGGGAATCCTTTCCCCATTTCTTGTTTTTGTCAGTTTTGTCAAAGATCAGATGGTTGTAGATGTCTGGTGTTATTTCTGAGGCCTCTGTTCTGTTCCATTGGTCTATATATCTGTTTTAGTACCAGTACCATGCTGTTTTTGTTACTGCAGCCTTGTAGTATAGTTTGAAGTCAGGTAGCGTGATGCCTCCAGTTTTGTTCTTTTTGCTTAGGATTGTCTTGGCTATGCGGGCTCTTTTTTTGGTTCCATATGAACTTTAAAGTAGTTTTTTCCAATTCTGTAAAGAAAGTCAGTGGTAGCTTGATGGGGATAGCATTGAATCTATAAATTACTTTGGGCAGTATGGCCATTTTCACGATATTGACTCTTCATATCCATGAGCATGGAATGTTTTCCCATTTGTTTGTGTCCTCACTTATTTCGTTGAGCAGTGGTTTGTAGTTCTCCTTGAAGAGGTCCTTCACACCCCTTGTAAGTTGTATTCCTAGGTATTTTGTTGTCTTTGTAGTAATTGTGAATGGGAATTCACTCACGATTTGGCTCTCCATTTGTCTGTTACTGGTATATAGGAATGCTTGTGATTTTTGCACATTGATTTTGTATCCTGAGACTTTGCTGATGTTGCTTATCAGCTTACAGAGATTTTGGACTGAGATGATGGCATTTTCTAAATATACAATAATGTCATCTGCAAACAGAGACAATTTGACTTCCTCTTTTCCTAATGGAACACCCTCTATTTCTTTCTCTTGCCTGGTTGCCCTGGCGAGAACTTCCAATACTATGTTGAATAGGAGTGGTGAGAGAGGGTATCCTTGTCTTGTACAAGTTCTCAAAGGGAATGTTTCCAGTTTTTGCCCATTCAGTATGATATTGGATGTGGGTTTGTCATAAATAACTCTTATTATTTTGAGATACTTTCCATCAATACCTAGTTTATGGAGTTTTTCGCATGAAGGGCTGCTGAATTTTGTCAAAGGCCTTTTCTGCATCTATTGAAATAATCATGTGGTTTTTGTCATTGGTTCTGTTTATGTGATGGGTTATGTTTATTGATTTGCATATGTTGAATCAGCCTTGCATCCCAGGGATGAAGCCGACTTGATTGTGGTGGATAAGCTTTTTGATGTACTGCTGGATTTGGTTTGCCAGTAGTTTACTGAGGATTTTTGCATCGATATTCATCAGGGATATTGGCCTGAAATTTTCTTTTTTTGTTGTATCTCTGCCAGGTTTTGGTATCAGGATGATGCTGGCTTCATAAAATGAGTTAGGGAGGATTCCCTCTTTTTCTGTTGTTTGGAATAGTTTCAGAAGGAATGGTACCAGCTCTTCTTTGTATCTCTGGCAGAATTTGGCTGCGAATCCGTCTGGTCTTGGTCTTCTTTTGGTTGGTAGGCTATTAATTACTGCCTCAATTCCAGAATTTGTTATTGGTTTATTCAGGGATTCGACTTCTTCCTGGTTTAGTCTTGGGGGGTGTATGTGTCCAGGAATTTATCCATTTCTTCTAGATTTTCTAATTTATTTGTGTAGACGTGTTTATAGTATCTCTGATGGTAGTTTGTATTTCTGTTGGATCAGTGGTGATATTCCCTTTACCCTTTTTTATTGCATCTATTTGATTATTCTCTCTTTTCTTCTTTATTAGTTTGGCTAGTGGTCTATTTTTTGTTTTTAATCTTTTAAAAAAAACAGCTACTGGATTCATTGATTTTTTGAAGGGTTTTTCTCCTACTTAAGCTCGAGAGGTACCTGGGGCCCCTCAGATATCCTGAGAAATTATTGTTTTATATCATTGAGGTATGTGGATGAGCATCACTTAAAAGATGAAATTTCTTCTCTTTGATTTTATAATGCAAGACTTTAATAATTGTATCCTCTTATCTCTCTAACCATTCTACATTGCTCTGTAGCATTGATAATCTATAGTTTCTAGACGAGCATTGCTCAACAGAATTTTCTGTAACGATAGAAATGTTTTTCTGTGCCCTCCAGTACATAGTCACTGGCCGCATGTTTCTATTAAGCACTTTAATTGCAACTGATATAACTGAGGATCTTTATTTTAAATTCTACTATATAACTAGGTGGTCAGTGGGTATTGCATTAGACAGCACAGTTCTCGACTCTTCTCTCACTTAGAAGGGTCTCATCTACTCTAGGGTTATATATATATATATATATATTTTATGCTTTAAGTTCTAGGGTACATGTGCACAATGTGCAGGTTTGTTACATATGTATACATGTGCCATGTTGGTGTGCTGCACCCATTAACTCATCATTTACATTAGGTATATCTCCTAATGCTATCCCTCTCCCCTCCCCCCACCCCACAACAGCCCCCGGTGTGTGATGTTCCCCTTCCTGTGTCCAAGTGTTCTCATTGTTCAATTCCCACCTATGAGTGAGAATATGCGGTGTTTGGTTTTTTGTCCTTGCTATAGTTTGCTGAGAATGATTGTTTCCAGCTTCATCCATGTCCCTACAAAGGACATGAACTCATCATTTTTTATGGCTGCATAGTATTCCATGGTGTATATGTGCCACATTTTCTTAATCCAATCTATCATTGTTGGACATTTGGGTTGGTTCCAAGTCTTTGCTATTGTGAGTAGTACTGCAATAAACATACGTGTGCATGTGTCTTTACAGCAGCATGATTTATATTCCTTTGGGTATGTACCCAGTAATAGGATGGCTGGGTCAAATGGTATTTCTAGTTCTAGATCCTTGAGGAATCGCCACACTGTCTTCCACAATGGTAGCGTTTTAAATAGTCACTGATACTTTCCAACTGCCCTTTGTGAACTCTTCTCCAACTTGCTTATAACAGTTCCAGTTTAAATGCCACAAATAATTATGTTATTCTCAAGATATTGTTTATTTCCTATCTTGGTATAGACCTGATCTATTTGTTTTTTATTTTATTTTGATTCTACATATTCAATAACTCTTAAACTGTTAGTTCCCTTCCCCCTAATTGCTACCTCTTTAATGTAAGCTCTTCTAAGCCTTTTCCTGGACTAACAGAAATGCCTTTTCATTGCTTAATTTCTTTTTTTTTTTTTTGTGACAGAGTTTTGCTCTTGTTGCCCAGGCTGGACTGCAATGACTTGATCTCGGCTCACGGCAACCTCCACTATTGTTTAATTTCTTAATTCTCTGGATGGGATCTTAAAATGTTGAGATGAAGATTCGGCAAAAGTCCATGTTTTTTGAAGAGCATTCACTACTTAGTTTTTCTTCCTCTGTGTTCCCACCACACTTTTTCCGGGTATCTATTATAACGGATAACTTATTACAGGTTGTTTTACGCTATACTATAATCTCCTTGAGAACAGAATCGTGGGGAAATTATGTATCAGAATGGAGTTAGTTATATAGAAGGCTTTTAATTACTAGTTGAAGGAATACTTACATCACTATTTAAAAAAGATTATTTAAATTATCAACAGCTCAAGGAACTATATCGGAGTGGGAAAATGCCAAGCAATAAAGAAAACTTTGAGGAGTAAGTATGTGTTACCTACACATACACAAAAAATAATCTTAACAATTTAGGAAGATAAGCCAGGGTTGCAGAGTCCTAGAAGAAAAACAAAAACATGCCTGTTAAAGGAAAAAATATATGCCTAAGTGTATGAAGTATATTCCTTAGTTTTATATACTGAGAAATCAAGGTATAATTATTTAAGTCCTAAATCTATCTTTAGACATATCATAAAAATTACTTTGATATTATGTTTATTTTTTTAACATCCTCAGAGTAAGGTCAATATACTTAGGAGGAGACTAAGAAGATTTCAGGAAGCTAAGAGATGACCTATGCAACCTAATCATATCACCCTTGACAGTGTCAGGTAACACAGTAAGAAGTAAATTCTGAGTGGAAGCTCTGAGCAACTTTGGGGTTCAGATGGAGAACAGCTTGACTACGGGAAAAGAATAAGATAGAAAAGAGAAATGTAAAGAACTATTATTAATATCAAAGTAGTAGATATTCTTGGGTGGCTCTTGAGAGCTAGTGAGAGTATGGTCAATTGAGCATCTTGGGCATGTCTTCAGAAATATTTGTGAAGCACAACAGAGACATAAACAAAATTCCAACATAACATTGGTCAAGCAATTATATCTCCTGTGTAATAATCCTAATTCTGAAATAATCATTTACATAAAATTTGACGTATTCATTATTCAGCAATCCAGTATAGAAAAATAATAATAATAGCTAACATTTCTAACATAAGAGAGTATTAATTAATTAATCTATGATAAATATCCTGTATGTTTTTAGGCATATGTTACTGTTTCTAGAAAACTCATCTCTGAATACTAGTTAATTTTTCTGTGTCTAGCTCCTAGCAGCATATTTATGTCTAATAAAGATTTAATAAGTGCTTTTTGATGTCATAAAAATGTTTACATTGAAAAGCAATATAAATATCTTCACAAAATTTAATTACATGTTTAATGTGACCGTGGATATAAAACAAAAAATCTCACCACAAAAATATACATGAAAATAACTTGAAATGCACAAAGACGCACAAGGATTTTGCCAATGAATGTTAGAATATGTTGAATGTTTATTATTCTTATAATTGTTTTCCAAATATTTTATAATGAAATCATTTTGTTATGAAAATAAAAGTACAGTCAAATTTTTACCATGTAATAAGAGAAAACTGACCAATACCAGAATTTTGCCTACAATCTTCAGAAGAATTTGTAAAAGGATTAATTTTTATCAAGTACAAAGAAGAGAAAGACAAATTTTTTTAGATACCCTCAAACTCTGAGTTCGAATGTAAATTTTTTGGAAAATTTGCATTTTTCTTCTAAGTGTTTTACTCGGGCTATGGTATATGACTCTCCAAAAGTCTTAAAATCACATGCCAGAAATAGCATAATAGTTTCCATGAAACACTTAAAGTCTAGTCAAGCTTGTCTAACCTACAACCCTCAGGCTGCATGGAATGCAGACCAACATAAATTCATAAACTTACTTAAAACTTTATGAGAATTTTTTGAGATTTCTTTTAGCTCATCAGCTATCATTAGTGTTAGTGAATTTTACGTGTGACCCACCTGCCCCAAATTTTTTTGTCTACCAATGTGGCCCAGGGAAGGCAAAAGATTGGACACCCTTTGTCTAAAAAAGCTTGGAAGGCTGGGTGTGGTGGCTCACACCTGTAATCCCAGCACTTTAGGAGGCCAAGGAGGGTGGATTGCTTAAGCCCAGGAGTTTGAGACCAGCCTCGGCAACATAGGGAAACCCATCCCTACCAAAAAATATAAGAAATAGCCTGTGTGGCAGCACAAGTTTGTAGTCCCAGCTACTTGGGAGGCTGAGGTGGGAGGGTGAGGTGGGATGGTTGCTTGAGCCCAGGAGGCAGAGGTTTCAGTGAGCCAAGATCACGCCACTGCACTGCAGCCTAGGTGACAGAGTGACTCTGTCTCAAAAAATAAAGAGAATAAAAGCTTAGAGAGAATATTTTAAGTTTTTACTACATGCTGCCTCTGCAATTCAAAGTACAAGCTTTAGTAGTATTCCACCTTTAGTGACATGCAAGAAGGTAAAGGAAAGTATTAAATCTTAATGAAGGTAAATAATTCCAAAACTTCCATTTATTCATTTCTTTCCTTCCATTCTTACTTCTATTCTCATATATGCTTCTACTTATGTTATACATAATTTTTTTTACTAAAAGGGATTGTGGTAGACCCACTCTAAGGTAATCCAAAATAAGCCACATCCTTGTATAATTCTCTGTCTTTGAATATAATATAAAGACATAAAGTATAAAATATATAAAATATACTTTTTAAAAAAGGCAGAACCTACAGATTACTTCTAACTAATACAATATGGCACAAATAAAAAGATTTGCAGACGTAATTAAGTCATTCATCAGCTGACTTTGAGTTCATCAAAAGGAAGATTGGTTTGAGTGGGCCTGAACTAATCAGGTTATCCCTTTAGAAGAGAGTGCAGTCCTTTCCTGTAGTTAGATAATTGAAGTATCAGAAGCTTTCTCTCTTTATTAATATATTTTAAGAAGCCAACTGTTATGAATTCTACGGCCACAGACTTATGACATCTGTCAAAAACCTGAGGAGTTGAGAAGAAAATCCTTCCCTAGTCAAGCCTTCAGATGAGACCACAGCTCAGCCAAAACTTTGATTTCAGCCTGTGAGACCTTGAGCCCAGAAATCAGTTTAGCCATGGCCAGACCCTTAGCCTATAGAAAGTATGTGATAATAAATGAGTTAGTTTCAAATCACTAAGTTTGGTGATTTGTTACACAGCAAAGAACACTAATGCAAGGATGAATTAGTTATAGATTCTATTAAATTTTAATAATATATTAAATTATATATTAAAATTAATTCTATACAAAACTAATTTTAGTTAATGGTTTGAAAGCTACACTAATATTTTTATTCCACAAATATTATAAAGGCATTTTGTATACATTCAATATATTTAATTCTTACAACAATCCTGCTGGGTATACATATTAGTACATTTTGCTCTTTGCTCGTTTATTTGAGGTAACTGACATTTACTGAGTTTAGACACATAGTTTCAGAGGTAGTGGCTGATCCAGGATTAGGACCCAGGTCTGTCTTATTTTCAAGCCTATTTCTTGCATATTGTCTTCTACTGCTGTTCATTCAATGACTGTTATAGGGAACACAATGCTAGTGCATCTGGAGAGAAAATTAATTACACAGTTAAGGAAAATCTGGTAAATGTATTTATTTTGCTTTGTCTTCTGCTTTGGATTTTAGTAACATTGTGCATTTCAAAAGGAAAATTCTAGGTTTATTTAGAATGGTAGAAAATAAACTCATAATGACAAAATGTTACTTATCTAAACATTTTGGGGACAGAATAAGACAAATATTGTTGCAGGTCCAGTTTATCAGGCAAGAATGTTTGCATTTGAGCTGGCAGTATGCCTTTCAGAGTCTGAATTGCTAAAAATAGGACAAAACTGGGACACTGCTTAGAATACAGTGCAGAAGAAATATTCCATTAGTTATCACAAGCAAAATCACTATTTCAAATGATAAAAAAAAATCAGTTGGGATGACCCAAATAAGTTATCTGAGAAAAGGTCTATGCCTTAACTGTGCTACTGTGATTAATGATTCTTGCTTTATTCTAGCATAGATCTCTCCTTAAAGAGATGAACAAGAGGTAAGTTAGAATTATGTAAGGTAAAAAATAGAAAACAGTTTATTTCTCATCAGTTTTTAGAATTTGCAAATCACTATTCAAGTCGCATAACTCTTAAAAACTGAAACAGGAATATGAGGTGTGTTATGGCAGCATAATATATCCTGAACATATTGTGATTCATCCTGTGGAAATCATCATAGAAGAAAAGGAACTGAATTGAGGTAGAGGCATTGTTACTAAACAGATTCAAGGCAATAAATACATAGATTTGATCTTGGATTTTGTTAGTCAAATGGTTCCGGGATAAAATAGTGACCAAGTTGGATTTATATGAACTACCTTTACTACTATCTATGAATTTAGTGATGTTGAAATAAGATTGTGTAAATTAAAACATTTTAAGCAGTATAAAGCACTATATAAGTGCAAGAAATTATTATCATCAAATTAGACCTTCAGCATACTGGTGTTTTCTTCCACCCAGATAGATTCAGAATTATATAAATCACTTATTTCCTTTAATTGGAATTGTAACCATAATTTTTTGCTTTCAGTAGCTCTCTAAAGTACATTATGGCTAAAGCCCCTTCTGGAAGCCACAGTGTCACTAAAATCTGAAAATTCATAAAAGTACAATTTACACTGTAGCATATAATTGCCTGCATGATACTTAAATATATGTAGTTGTTATTTCCAATTTGAAATCACAGAAAACTAAAGTACTAAAAATTTTATGTTCTGAAAGTTCAATAAAAAAGTGACCAATCCTGTTAAAGGTTATGATTCCTGAGGAACTAAGTAGATGAAATAAGTAAGGACCTAAAAATGGGCATCATAATAATATGATAAAAGAGAATTAGCAATAGCAAGCGATAAAGAGTTACAGCTATAAAAGCCTTTTTTGCTTTTGTCATTATTCCCTGTGAGATCTACTGCTAGTCTGCTATTGCATCCACATTACATTCTCAAAAAGCAAAATAGAAAAATCACTATCCACCCACTATTAAAGTCATTAAAATAGAACCAATGATACACCAGACAATAAAGACAATAACCAATGTACTTTTTTCCAAGCACAAATCACCTTTCCTGTCCCTTGTCTTGACAATACACGGCATCAAATCCTCTCATATCCCCACTCTATATTTTAATTTACTAAAAATGAGTATCGAGCATTTTTTTACCTGACCCGAAACAGGCTTTTCCTGACTAACTTCATCTGCCTTTTCATTCATCTTTTGTAAACTTTGTGTTTTCATCCTGCTGATTTCATGAATAACTTCACATAGAACAAATTTTTACATTTTCTGCAAGCTCAACATTCTATCCTCCTTTTGATGAAGAAAGAGTACCTTAGTTTTCACTTTTGAGAGTAAGGACCTTAAGCAAGAACTATCCAATCTGCCATATTTTCTAACTGTAAGTCTATCTCTTTAAACTTATCAACTCCTATATTATTTGTGTCTCATATGAAATGTCGTTGTTACTATTCAAGCCTAATTTTTCCTCTTTTGACCTCACTTTTTCCAATATCCACCACAACTCCTTCTCCCTTAGCTGTTTTACTCTTGTATAAAGTTAGATTTGCATCACCTTAACTTAAGGAAAAAGGCCCTAGAGCTTCTAACTTAAAGCAGCCTCTGAATAAGTTTTAGATCTATCCTTTTTTACAGAAAACAAAAATAGAAAACCGCAGTACCTTTGGAAACTAAGTCTGATGGTCAAGCCATTTCTGAAATATGGAAATATTTCCACTGAAAATGTGATAGATGAAGCTCAATCAAGTCTCAGTTTTGATGGCTAGTGTATACTTCAACCGCTGAAACAGAAAAATTCTGCTAATTTGCAAGAAGGTGGAGAGATAACACATGACCCTTGTTTTCCCTGCCTCTATTTGAGAGGCCCAGAGGATATTAACTAGAAATGAAACGAAACCTTCGGCAATGCACATAGTGGGCATTTTAACCTGTCACAGTCTACCAGTGTGTGTTTGTATTTTCTGGACATTTGGTCAGAATTACAGAAAATTAACATTAACTCTTCAAGAAAATATCCAGGCCTAGCTATGGTGATTGCCTGCTGGAAGATGAAATTAGGTCATAAACCTTTCTGAAACTTGAAAATCTGATTTCCTACCAACAACGAAGTACATATCAAACAGGACCAATAACAAAGCACAAGCAAGAATTAAATCCCCAGCATATCACATTTATCATGCCTTTTCCCGACTGTCAATTTTTTAATATAACATTTAATATGCTTTGGCCACAGGCCTCTTCAAGTAACACAACCACTGCCCATGGGCCCTTAGTTGTGTTACTTCCTAAATTTTAGCCCCTCCCCCCTTATCCAAACACCGGTGTTGTCTTCTATTTTACCTCTGAAAATATAGAAAGCTAGCAATATGCCAAGCATCTCTAAAACAATACTTTAAAAATAGTAATCATTAAAAATATGTAAATTCCATCCATTTCTATTGGCTCTTGCTGATTTTAAGGTGTTTATCTCTTGCACAAATTTTAAAACTTATACTAGCCTACACCTCTTGAATATATTTTGCCTAAGCTAAGTTAAAAGCTGTTGCTTATAAATGAGCCAACATGACCTTCTCTGTCTCTCTAGCATGATTCATGCTTCCCATTCTTCTTAGTGTAAAATATACTTTATATTAGGAAATGCAGGTAGTGGAAAAGCCTGGCTCAATAGTTATGACAACGAGGGTAATTGTTGGCTTTCTTTTTCTTTTCTTTTTTGAGACTGAGTTTTACTCTTTTTGCCCAGCCTGGAGTGCAATGGTGTGATCTCGGCTCACTGTAATCTCCACCTCCCAGGTTCAAGCAGTTAACCTGCCTCAGCCTTCCAAGTAGCTGGGATTACAGGCATATGCCAACATTTCTGGCTAATATTTTGTATTTAGTAGAGACGGGGTTTCTCCATGTTAGGCTGGTCTTGCACTCCTGACCTCAGGTGATCCACCCGCCTCAGCCTCCCAAAGTGTTGGGATTAGAGGCGTGAGCCACCACACTTGGCCATTGTTGGCTTTCTTAATCACTAGTACAAATATAGGAGCTCTTTAGAAGAGACATTTAGTTGCTCAAAATATTTGCAATCTCAAGGTTTTCCTTCTTATTTTTTTACTATACTATACTTGGTATAAGAGCTTTTTCCTCCAGTGATATATTAGGTTCACAAAATGCCTACAACAGTTCTAGGAGATTAACACAGTAAATGATTTCACCTATTCCTTCTACCTCCTTTTATTAGTCCATTCTCATGATACTAATAAAGACATACCTGAGACTGAGAATTTATAATGGAAAGAGGTTTAATTGACTCACAGTTCCACAGGGCTGGGGAGGTCTCAGGAAGCTTACAATTATGGCAGAAGGGAAGCAAACACATCCTTATTCACATGGTGGCAGGAGAGAGAAATACAGAGTGTAGGCTGGGAGAATGCCTTATAAAACTATGAGATCTTATGAGAACTAACTCACCATCAAGAAAACAGTATGGAGGTAACTGCCATCATGGAGGGACCCACTGGGTCCCTCCCATGACACATGGGGATTATGGAAACTACCATTCAAAATGAAATTTGGGTAGGAACACAGGCAAACCATATCATTTCATCTTGGCCTCTCCCAAATCTCATGTCCTCACACTTTAAAACACACTGATGACTTCCCAAGTGTCCTGGAAAGTCTTAACTCATTTCAGCATTAACTCAAAAGTCCAAGTCCAAATCCAAAGTCTATACACACATTCCAAATGGGAGAAATTGGCCACAACAAAGGGGATATAGGCTCCATCCAAGTCCAATCCAGCGGGCAGTCAAATCTCAAAGCTCCAAAATGATCTCCTTTGACTCCATGTCTCACACTCAGGCCTCACTGTTGTAAGAGGTGGGTTCCTATGGCCTTGGGCAGTTCCACCCTTGTATCTTTGCAGGGTACAGCCCCCCTCCTGGCTGTTTTCATGGCTGGCATTGAGTGTCTGTGGCTTTTCCAGGTGCATGCTGCAAGCAGGAGGTGGATCTAACACTCTGGAGTCTGGGGGATGGTGGCCCTTTTCTCACAGCTACACTAGGCAGTGCCCCAGTGGGGACTCTGTGTGTGGGCTCCAACACCATATTTTCCTTCCTCACTACCATAGCAGAGGTTTTCCATTAAGGCTCCACCCTGTAGCATACTTCTGTCGGGACATCCAGGCATTTCCCTAAATCCTTTGAAATCCAGGTGGAGGTTCCCAAACCTAAATTCTTGCCTTCTGTGCACCTGCAGGACCAACACCACTTGGAAGCTGCCAAGGCTTGGGGCTTGCACCCTCTGAAGCTATAGCGTGAGCTGTACCTCGGACCCTGTTAACCATGGCCGAAGTGGCTGAGACTCAGGGCACCAAGTCCCAAGGCGGGACCCAGACCAGGAAACCATTTTTACCTCCTAGGCCTCCATGTCTGTGATGGGAAGGGCTGCTGTGAAGGTCTCTGACAAGTTCTGGAAACATTTTCCCCATTGTCTTTTTGATTAACATTTGCTCCCTTGTTACTTAAGCAAATTTCTGTAGCAGGCTTGAATCTCTCCCCACAAAATGGGGGTTTCTTTTCTATCACATTGACAGGCTGCAAATTTTCTAAACTTTTATGCTCTGCTTCCTCTTGAACAGTTTGCCGCTTAGACATTTCTTCCACCTGATACCCTAAATCATCTCTCATAAGTTCAAAGTTCCACAGATCTCTAGATAGGGGCAAAATGCTTCCAGTCTCTTTATTAAAGCATAACAAGAGTCACCTTTGTTCCAGTTCCCAACAAATTCCTCATCTCTATCTGAGACCACTTCAGCCTGGATTTTATTGTCCATATAACTATCAGCATTTTGGTCAAAGTCATTCAACCAGACTCTAGGAAGTTCCAAACTTTTCCACATCTTCCTGTCTTCTGAGCCCTCCAAGTCTCTAGGAAGTTCCAAACTTTTCAACATTTTTTTTTCTTCTTCTGAGCCCTCCAACCTCTGCCTGTTATCCAGTTCCAAAGTCACTTCCATATTTTCAGGCATCTTTACAGCAATGCCACATTCCTGGTACCAATATACTGTATTAGTCCATTCTCATGCTGCTAATAAAGACATACTTGAGACTGGGTGATTTTAAAAAGAAAGAGGTTTAATTAACTCACAGTTGCACAGGGCTGGGGAGGTCTCAGGAAACTTACAATTATGGCAGAAAGGGAAGCAAACACATCCATCTTCTCATGGTGGCAGGAGAGAGAAATGCAGAGCAAAGTGGTCAGGGGGTGGGGAGTCCTCTTATAAAACCATCAGATCTTGTGAGAACTCACTCACTATGATGAGAACAACATGGAAGTAACCACTCCTATAATTCAATTACCTTGCACTGGGTCCCTCCCATAACCCTTGGGGATTATGGGAACTACAGCTCAAGATGAGATTTAAGTGGGGGCATAGCCAACCCATAGCACTCCTTTTTCTTAATTAAATGTGAAGAGGTCTCAAAGATTATGTATATTCTTCTAGCATGTTACTGGTCGGATTACATCACATGGCCATCATTAAATCAAGTTATAGCAAAAGAAATGGAACACTTTGATTGGCTTAGAATAGCCAAGACTCATATCTTTTGGTTTGTAGTGGGTTTCCTTGGATGAGAGTGGACACTTGGACAGCATTTGGGTTTGTTTTGGAGAAAAGGTTGGGGAGGATGGACACTGAACTGACCAAAAATGCCTCACTCTCCTTTCCATTAATCAAAATTTTATTTCAAACAAACACACATGGCTGTATGAAAACCTCTCTACCTGAGAACTCTGAAAAGTAATAATCTATACTACTTATATGAAGGTTAATTTATCATGCATTTGCATTGTATCTTTAGTTTTAATTTAATATGCACATACTGTCTCTCAAAATAGATACGAGCTCTCTGAAGACAAGAATGTTTTTTCTTACTAATTCTCTTTCAACCTAAGATAATATTCCATATAGAAAAATCAAAAAGCAAATGCACCAATTAATTGATTGAATTCAAGAGGTGTTTTATTTACATTTATTTTACATTTTAAAATTACTTTTCCATATTTCACTGATATTTCAGGAGCTTAAGGTTTTAGCATGAACAAAAGTAAACTGAATTGAAGAGGATAAATGGATACCTGAGAAGAAGCTATCTAAAAGTCATACTACTCTAGGAAAAAAAAAAGGTTTATTTTAAATACAGGAACATCAAAGAAATGTACAATAGGAAATATTTATTCATAGATAGTTCTGCAATATGTTACTAATTAACACTCAAGCAACTCTCCTGCCTCAACCTCCCAAGTAGCTGTGATTACAGGTACCCACCACCATTCCCGGCTAATTATTGCTTTTTTAGTAGAGATGGTATTTTTGCCATTTTGGTCAGGCTGGTCTAGAACTCCTGACCTCAAGTGATCCATCTGTCTCAGCCTCCCAAAGTGCTGGGATCACAGATGAGAAAGTTTTGTGAACTATGGGAAGATGGAGAACCAAGAGGAACATGGTTAGTTTTAGAGAAAATCTGAAATGAGCAGTGGGAAAAACAAGAACCAGATATTTACATATTGAATATTTAATGTCCAAGAGAAACTTTCCCTGATGCATTAGGGCAATGGTTATAAAATATGTTTGGACATAACTCTTTCAAATGAAAACCTATACTGATGACACATACACGAAGCTGATAAAAGAAGAAATATTAAGCTTAATGTTAGGCTATGATCCTAGAATTTGTATGTTTAATTACCCACTTGCTGCTTCTCTTCATTAAAGTACCTCCTAAGAACTTCTGAGGATCTCCTGACACATGGAATAGCGCAGTTTGCAAAGTATGTAAATTCCAGTGAAGCAGGAAGACTCCTGAGATAAAATAAACTCAGTTATAAAAAATAATATAAGTAATTTTGGCAGAAGCATAAATCACAAAAGACTACTAGAATTTGAAAGAAAACTAAAATATTATCAGTAAAAGTTAAATGAAAATTCAATAAATATCTCCTAATCTGTGTTTCACATATCAATAAAATTATGTCTCTTGTATTTAAATAATTTTCTGTGATATAAATGCATTAAAGCAAATGTCACATGGGGAAAAAATCCCAGGGGTAAAATCCATAACTTGATTTTGCCTGCATATCAACCAAGGTTCCCTGAAATTTTTCATGATTTCTGAAGAACTAGTGCTATTAAAGTCCGAAAAGGAACTGAGAGGACTGAGTCTCTCAAGTTAGGAAGAGTTAAGGAATTTATTTGCACTTTTATACTGTTTTCAATGAATATAAAATAATTAAAAGGCTACTCATGTGTACTTTCTAGTGCTATAATATATTTTTCAGGCCAGAAATAAAAATGTGAACAAAAATATTCACATGTATGTACAACAGACTTATAATTTGCAGTGTGTGATTTAGATTTGTGTGAGCCAGCACTGTAGAAAAAGTGGGCAAAAATATATGGACCAAATTAGAAGTAAATACTGGGTACAGCAGTGTACAAAAAATTAGAATGATGAAAGGTTTACTGAACTATTGAATAGGAAAAAAAAAACAACTGAAATAAAAAGAGGATTATTCAAGGGAGAAATTAGAAAGGTATTTAAAAGAAGCTGAGAATTACCCATAAACCTAGGTTGAAAGGACAAATTAGAGTATTTATCCTTAAATAGCTAATTTTCTCAGAAAGAATAAAACTTTTACTTTCTCCTGTTAAATTGGCTTCCTGGTCATGAGTCCGCACCATGGAAAGAAATTCAACTGCCTTCAAAATAAAACTAAGCATAGAATGGTAATTCTACAGAACAAGGGAATTTAAAACTGTGTGTGAATTGGAAAGCTTATGAGGAAAAAGTACATTTATCTGCCAAAATCTCAGTGTTGTGTTAAATCCCTAACATTCAGTACTGGAGATCTCAGGGGACTGTTGCAGACTTTAATCAAAAGAACATTTTGCAGTTTGGTTTAAAAGGTCAAACTTACTAACTGATCCTTATGTGATGGTAGTTTAGTAATGGTCTAGTAACTTGGCTTGTGATTTGTCATGACCTGGATCACTCTGTGGCAATAGGAAATTGATGTGAATACTTTTAGCCTTACTCAACCAATAAAAAGAGCATTAACCAGGCTTTTGTGTCAAAGACAGTACAGCTACTCAAAGAGAGAAAGTCTAAGAAGTTGCAAATAGAAGAGATCCAATATTAAAGCTTTTTTTCCCCATAAACATTTGAATGTAACACAAAAATGTAAACATCAGGCTGCTTCACACAGAATGAAAAAAAGTTGAGAACAAAAGGCAGAAGGGTGTTGGTGCATTAGGCTACTATGAGTGTCTGTATCCCTATCAGTCCTGAATATTTGCTCCAATATGGAAGATAAGGAAAAGTGACCTCTCACACCTCCACTATTTGTACTTCTAAAATGAATGTTTCACAGATACTTAAGGCAGGAATGGATAGTAAATGAGTTATCCAATTATACAGATAATTAATGAAAACGTTGGTACCAGAAAACTAGGGGAAATTATCTATTACTTTAAAGAACAATGTTCTCAAAAACTGAGGTGAGAAGGGAGAAGTCTTGGCTCAGATACTTCTTGATTCGATGCATATATGAATATAATTAACATAACATCTGAGTTCTTTATATCTGTGGGTCATTGGACAGATACTGCTAATAAATGAGCTAGCACAAAGTTTATTAGATAATCAGGACATTGCTGAATTCAGGTTGTTTTAATTCCTTGCAGTACTATATGTGAAAGCAATGTACTTGTTTTGGTTTCATTTTCTTTTGAATTTTTTTAAATTATATTTTTAAATTGACACAAATTATAATTGTACATATTCATCGAGTACATAGTGATATTTCCAAACGTATAATGTATAGTGATCAGATCAGAGTAATTAGCATATCAATCATCTCAAACTTATATTACTTGTTTTGGGAATGTGCATTGTCATCCTATAGCTATCGGAAATTATATATTACTATTAACTGTAGTCATCTTATAGTGCTATAGAACACTGAAACTTATTCCTTCAGTCTAGCTTTAACTTTGCATTCTATAACAAATCTCTCATTTTGTAGGTTTTAGTAACAGTGCTTACATAATTTTATTATTTTTTATAAATATATAGAATATACACGTGAATAAATTCTTCAGATCAATACATCACGGTAGTTTTAAAGATACGTCCACAAACTGCCAGATACTTCTTTCCTCAAGGCATAGAACTTAACTTGCTTCCACTTGAGGGTAGGCTGGTTTCAGTGACTTACTCTAAAGAAGAGAATATCGTCATATTCTAATGATGGGATACTAAAAATACCATAGCTTCCCATGATGATTTCTCTCTCTCTTTCTGTCTCAATGTCTGGCTCTGGGGGGAAGCCAGCTGCCATCGTGTGAAGATCCTCAGGCAGCTTACAGAGAGGCAAGGTAAGGAATTGGGGCTTGTCAGGATTTATGTGACCTTGGAAGCAGGTCTTGCCCCAGACAAGCCGTGAAAAGATTGCAGCTCTGACCAACAGCTTGATTTGAAGTTCATGACAGCCCATGAGCAAGAACTTCCCAATTTAACTGCTCTTGAATTCCTGATCCCCAGAAACTATGAGACAATAAACGTGTACTATTTTAAGTCACTGATTTCAAGTAATTTGCTATGCAGGAATAGGTAATTTATGTGTATACAAAATGCAATTAGGTTAAAACTAATACTGCATATGTATGCATATTTTTATAATTTCCAAAGACTGTACCTATGTGAATAAGGAGGAAAAATATTCAAAGACAGTGATAAGGCCAGGTGTGGTGGCTCACGCCTGTAATCCCAGCACTTTGAGAGGCTGAGGCGGGTGAATCACGAGGTCAGGAAATCGAGACAATCCTGGCCAACATGGTGAAACCTCGTCTCTACTAAAAATACAAAAATTAGCTGGGCGTGGTGGTGCGCACCTGTAATCCCAGCAACTGGGGAAGCTGAGGCAGGAGAATCGCTTGAACCCGGGAGGCAGAGGTTGCAGTGAGCTGAGATCACACCACTGCACTCCAGCCTGGCGACAGAGCAAGACTCCGTCTCAAAAACAAAAACAAACAAAAAAAAGATAAAATATTCTTAATTTTCACATTAAGCAAAGGAAGAGTTTACCTGATTTTCTTTTAAGAAAATTAATGAGGATTTGGATTTTAAAGGGCTATTTTAATTTGCTGGGCACTGAAGGCTGACCCAATTTTAAGTAGGAGAATGATATCAGAGTGGTAGCCAGTAAAGTGAATAGTTTGCTTTAGTCTCTTTTTTTTTTGCACATATTTAACTAGGCCATCAGGGTTAAAAGCAAATGTTTCAATAACAAGAGCAAAACAAAGGAAAAAAGTTGATCTAAACATATTTAAAAACATGGTTTTACATGACCGCTCTCAGTGCATATACTTCATTTCCATTTTTTTTTACCTTTACCTCACTAATTTTTTACAGAGCTATACAAGATCATTAATGACCCATACCAAGGTAAACAATTTTAATTGCATGAATATATCACTGGGAATCTAGGCACTGGCCTGCTGAGCACTCTGGGCAGAAAGAAGAAGACAGAAAGCAGAGACTGGAGAAGCTTCTCTCCTTGCTTCTGCCATTTTCTTCCTTTATTTCCTTCCAGAAGCCCGTCACATAAAGTGACCACAATCACATCTTGGAGAGGAGACCTCCATTTATCTCTGTGACACAAACAGGACACTTCTGATTGAATAGAAACAAAAGTCAAGCATGTGATTGAGGTAATCATTTCTAGTAATAGAGGCATTTGCTAGGATGAACACCATCTACAACAACCGTCTATGATATTGAGTTTCAAAACATAATATTAAGTTTTAGAAAATTCTTTTATAACCTATCCATCTCTCTCAATCTATTAAATATTCAAATTCTTTTAAAAAAATAATAGCAGCTCCTCTTGTCAGGCACATGCTAGTTCTTTAGGGCAAACTATATTATTTACTCATTACAAAAACTCCTGTGAGATTGATATGGTTTGGCTCTGTGTCCCCACCCAAATCTCATCTCAAATGGTAATCCCCACTTGTGTAGGAAAGGACCTGTAATCCCCATGTGTTGATGGAGGGAGGTGACTGGATCATGGGAGTGGTTTCTCCATGCTGTTCTTGTGATAGTGAGTGAGTTCTCACAAGATCTGATGGTTTTATAAGCGTTTGACATTCCTCCTTCACTGGCTCTTGCTCTCCTGCTGCCTTGTGAAGAAGGTGCCTGCTTCCCCTTCCACCATGATTATAAGTTTCCTGAGGCCTCCCCAGGCATGTGGAACTGTGAGTCAATTAAGCTTCCTTTGTCTATAACTTATGCAGTCTCAGGTGGTATATTTGTAGTGGTGTGAAAATGGACTAATACAGAAATAGAAATTATAAAAACTTTTTAAAGAAAAACCCAAAACTTAAAAAATCAGGCAAGATGGGGCCAGGTGTGGTGGCTCACGCCTGTAATCCCAACACTTTGGAAGGCCATGGTGGGCAGATCACCTGAGGTTAGGAGTTTGAAACCAGCCTGACCAACACGGAGAAACCCCTCTCTACTAAAAATACAAAATTAGCTGGGCATGGTGGTGCATGCCTATAGTCCCAGCTACTCGGGAGGTTGAGGCAGGAGAATCGCTTGAACCCAGGAGGTGGAGGTTGCGGTGAGCTGAGATCGTGCCATTGAACTCCAGCCTGGGCAACAAGAGTGAAACTCCGTCACAAAAAAAAAAAATAGGGCAAGCAAAGGGTTTTATTTCTTGCCTGTGCATCCAGAGTCTATGTTTGTTCTAAGATTCTATACTGTCTCACACACTCAATCCAGGGAAAGCACAGAATGTGGATTACCAAATCTGGGTTCTATTTATTGTTCATCCACTAGGTACATTGCTGTTTCAAGTAAACCACTGAACAGGTGTAGGACTCCACTAATTCCTTGAAGTGCTTGTGTTTGCTTTAATTTTTAAGAAGGACTTGTCAATTAAAATAATCAATTCCAACATTTTCCAATCAGATTTTTGTCATGTAATGGATCTAGAAAGGACCCCATGAAATAAATTGCTCATGCCTCTGTATAAAGTGCTATGTGAAAAATTTCTTGCAGAATATAGAGCCCTCCAAAAAATATGTTTTTTGTAACGTGCACAAGAAAACGTGGCTACGGTTTTTAAAATAAAACCATGGAACAGTGAAAAGTTTTGAATGCAATATTTAGAAGCCAATGTGATTTAATCACATATTCGCCCCTCTTACAACTCTATAATTCCCATTAGATTTTTCTGTTGTGATTCATAATTTTGTTTAATATATTTCATAAAACTGTTTTATATAGTTTATATTTATGCAAAAATATATAATGCATATATATCTTTACAATAATTTATTGCTTCAGCTAATATGTTTTATGTATAATACCTAAAAATCCTTTGTAAAATGAAGTGAAAATGAAAACAGGTTGTTTCTTCCCACTTCTTAACTTACGTCATCAACACAACTTCAGACCCAGTCATCTGAACCGTATTTAGCAATATTACCAAACAATAGCTCAATTAACCAACAATACTAGGAGAATCATAATAATTCAATCGGCGTGGTTATTTTTAATTATACAAGTTAAGAAACATTTCTAAATTTTTCATTTTTGAAACACATTGTTTAGTCTAAGACTGTGATAACACCTTTAGTAACTTGTGAAGTTAAAGCACATATACACACACATACATTCACAAAGTATATATTTATATCTGTTTACAGAAGCCTTTTAAATTAAGTGGAACACAAATCCGTGAAAGCAGCTACCTGGCACAGTACAATCAAAACAGCTGGCTGATTGATTAGGTTTTGCCATCTGTAATTAACTATTGTATATGTATAGCTTCAAAATTAAAATGCTCAAAGAATATAAAACAGATGCAAACTGCATGCTCTCATTTGGTAAACAACTTTAATTTCATGCCTTTTTGCTGCATTGTTTGGAAGTTCTTTAAAGAGCATGTATTATTCAAAAACTGCATTTCAGTCTGTTGCTTCATCTATGTGGAGAATGCATGTAACAAAATATACAAACGTATGCAAGGTATTACCGTGTTCTAATTTATAGAAAATTGCTCTCTGGCATAGTTTTTCTGCCCTCTGCATGTCCTTAGATGTAGAGTATAATACATACAATTAGTATCCATCCATGAAAAATAAAATTTAAAAAAAATAATAAATCAAATCTTAATGTTTACTTCAGACTTTTTGGTTTTATTTTATTTTTGATGGAAAAATACTAATTGTACATATTTGGAATACAATATGATGTTTTCATACATGTATATATTTTGTAATGATCAAATCATGGCAATTAGCATATTTGTCACTTCAAACATTTATCATTTCTTTCTGGTGATAACATTCAAAATCCTCTCCTACAGCTATTCTGAAATACACAATTCATGATTTTTACCTGTCACTCTTCTTTGCCATGGAACGCCAGATTTATTCCTCCTATTTAATTGTAACTTTGTACTCATTAGCTATCATCTCCTCTTTGCCCTTCCACCCAGCTTCCCAGCTTCTGGTAACCACCATTCTACTCTCTACTTCTGTGAGTTCAGTTTTGTTTAGATTTCACATATAAGTGAGATCATACAGTATTTGTCTTTCTGTGCCTAGTTTGTTTCATTTAACACAATGTCCTCCAGGTTTATTGTTGTTGTCACAAATGACAGAATTTCCTGTTTTTGTAAGACTATATAATATTTTATTGTGTCTATATACATTTAAAAAATATATTCATCCATGGATAGACACTTAGATTATTTCCATATATCAGCAATTGTGAATAATGCTGCAAGGAAGATGAAAGCACAGACATCTCTTGGCCATATTGATTTTAACTCCTTTGAATATATACCCAATAGTGACATTGCTGGAACATATGGTAATTCTATTTTTAGTTTTTTGAGGTGCCTCCCTACTGTTTTCCAAAATGGCTAAAGATATACATAATTAACACATAATTGTTACAGTATTATTCTGAATCTGACTGAGTACTTACTGTTACATTTTATACATTTTAATTTTTTAAAATCAATAGAATTCTTTTATTTCAGCTTGAAGAACTATCTTCATCATTTCTTGTAACACAGGTCTAATGATGATAAACTAAACTCTGTTAGATTTTGTTTTTCTATAAAAATCTTTACCTTTGCTTTATTTCTAAAAAAAAAAATTGTTGGATAAAGTATTCTTAGTTCAGAGGTTTCCTTCAGCATTTTGAATATATCATCCCACTCTCTCCTAGCCTATAGGATTTCTGCTGAGAATTCTGCTGATACTCATGTTGGGACCTTCTTGTATATGATATGTTTCTTATCTCTTGCTGCATTCAGAATTTTTCATTTGTCCTAGATTTTTAATAGTTTGATTATTATGTCTTGGTGTACTTCTCTTTTGGGTGGATTTTATTGGAGATCACTGTGCTTCCTATAACTTAATGTTGGCACCTACTCACAGATTAAAGAAGTATTTGGCCATTATTCCTTCACATGTGCTTTCTGGCCCTTTTCCTCTTTGTTCTCATTCTACAAATTCTATTATGCAAAAGTTTAGTCTCTTGATTGTGTCCCATAATTCCCATAGGCTGTCTTCATTCTTTTTCTTTATTTTGTCTTTTTTCTCCAGTGACTGGATGTTCTGTCCAGCTCACTGTTTCTTCTGACTGATCAACCCAGTCTTCTCTTGAAGTTTTCTGTTGAAATTTTTAGTTCAGTCATTGTTTTTTGTCTCTAGAATTCCTACTTTGCTCTTTTTATTGTTTCTATTTTTTGTTGGTTTTCTATCTTTTATTTTATTGTTTGCCAAATTTTATTAAATTTTATATCTGCATATTCTTGTCATTCACTGAACTACGTTATGAGTATTATTCTGATTCTTTTCAGTTATTTCACAAATCTTCATTTCTTTGGGGTTCATGATTGGAGTCTATTTATTTTTTATTGAAGTGTCATGATTCCCTGATTCTTTGTAATCCTTGTGTTTTTATGTTGTTGTCTGCACATTTTAGGAGATAGCTTTGTTTTTTGGCCTTTACAGGAGTTCTTTGGCAGGAACAAAGCATCACTATTTTGTTATTTTCATTTTTGAGACAGAGTCTTGCTATGACATTCAGGCTGAAGTACACTGTCAACCATATCTCATTGCAGCCTCAAACTTCTGGGACTCAAGCAATCTACTCTCCTAAGCCTCCTGAATAGGTGGGACTACAAGTGCACATCACCGTGTCTGGCTAATTTTTTTTATTTTTCTTTTTTGTAGAGACAGAGTCTTATCTTATTGCCCAGGCTTGTCTTAAACTCCTGGCTTCAAGCAATTCTCCCACCTCTGCCTCCAAAAGGGCAAGGATTATAGGCATGATCCACCACACCCAGTCCAGAGCTTCACATATTTAGTCTAGCCTGTGATTCTGGAAGGGCTAGATAGTGAAAACCCCAGGCAGGTAGAAATTGCTGTGAGTTCTCTAGTTGGCTGATCCACTGCCTTTGCTCTGATGTCAGAATGGGCTATTGATTGGTTTTACTGACCAACGAGACCACTGTCTGGGATTTTCTGTCAGATGAAACTACTGGCTAGATAATACAATGGCTTCTGGTCAATTCAGTCATAAGATGTATTCCTGGCTGGAAAATTCTGCTATTTGGAATCTACAGTTAGACAAGACTGCATGTTAGACTCTGAAGTTAGGCAGGGTCACCACCCTGGACAGGTAAGACCTGAGGCTGAAATACACTACTTACATAAAGCTGAAGATTTTTCTCCCTATCTGGGTAGAGCCATGAAGTGGGCTTCTAACTGAGTTTAGTGTCTTATTGACTTTCCGGATAAAGTAAGACTAGCCCTTGCTGTGTTTCTCCAAAATATAGAAAGGTGGAAATATTCCTTCCTGGTTGGAGTCATTGTGTGGGCTTTTTGGCTGTGTGGAGCTGCTACTTGTTTTCCCTGGTCAGGCCCAATCTACCTCTTCTCTTCTCACAAATAGGTGAAGCTGTGTTTCCCTGACTAGGCAGGGTTGTTGATGTGGGTTCTAAGGCTGAGCCCAGAGACTAGTAGTCTAGGGGCTCAAGTTAAATTGTACTTCCCACTGTGCTTCTGAAGGGAACCAGCTTATTAACTTTGTGGTTGTGCTATGAGGTTTGCTGATATCCCTGATCGAGCAGCACAGCTGTCAGGAAAACAGAGGTACCACCAAGATCTGTGCATCAGTAATTTTCTTTGTTTCTGCCTGACCCTAGGGCAGTCAAGCCATGCCATTTCTCCTAGTATTCCCCATGAGGTGAAACCAGAGTTGACTTCCTGAGTAGCATCTTAGAACGTTAGGGAAACTGAATGACTACCTCTTATTCTCTTTTTTCCTGGTAGAAACTGTGAGTGCAGGGAAACCATCTCCATCTGCTGTGCCAACTTGGGGAAGGGGAAGGGGGAAGCCCAGGTGGAGTGAGACCATTCTTCTTACCCTTCTGATTCAGATTTCATTCAATTCTACATCCCTTGCTGGTATCTCAGGCTGGTTTCCAGGTGTAGGGGTTTTCAAAGGATGTTCCAGTTTGTGGATATTTGCCAGTTAAACTTTCTGTGGGCCAAGTAGAGCCTGAGATTTCCTGTTTGGCTATCTTTCTGCCATCACTACTAAGATCTACTTTTTGATAGTTTGATAGAACACAGACTGCCGAACTGTGTTCATCTTCTAAATTTTCATTTTAAATTATTTTATTGATGTTAAACTAAGAAACAATACTGAATTATAATGCATGGCCACTCTTCAAAATGTAACAATGACTTTGTTAGTTTTTGCAATCGTTGAAGTGATAAAGGATTTTTTTAATAGAATGTTAGTTATGTAGAAGAGATAAAGGTTTTATTTATCCTGAAACATCTATCTTTGTATAAGTATTTCATAAGAAGCTCTGTGGGATCACAAGTAAAACTGAGAGGTGACAGCGTGCAGGCAGTCCTCACAGCCCTCCCTCGCTCTCGGCGCCTCCTCTGCCTGGGCTCCCACTTTGGCGGCACTTGAGGAGCCCTTCAGCCCACCGCTGCACTGTGGGAGCCCCTTTCTGTGCTGGCCAAGGCCAGAGCCGGCTCCCTCAGCTTGCAGGGAGGTGTGGAGGGAGAGGCGCCAGCGGGAACCGGGGCTGCACGTGGCGCTTGCGGGCCAGCTGGAGTTCCGGGTAGGCATGGGCGGCCCCGGGAAATGAGGGGCTTAGCACCCGGGCCAGCGGCTGCGGAGGGTGTACTGGGTCCCCCAGCAGTGCCAGTCCGCCGGCGCTGCACTGGTTTTCTCACCGGGCCTTAGCTGCCCTCCCGCGGGGCAGGGCTTGGGACCTGCAGCCCGCCATGCCTGAGCCTCCCACACCCTCCATGGGCTTCTGTGCAGCCGGAGCCTCCCCGACGAGCACCACCCCCTGCTCCACGGCGCCCAGTCCCATCGACGGCTGAGGAGTGCAGGCGCATGGCGCGGGACTGGCAGGCAGCTCCACCTGCAGCCCCAGTGGGGTATCGACTGGGTGAAGCCAGCTGGGCTCCTGAGTCTGGTGGAGACGTGGAGAACCTTTATGTCTAGCTCAGGGATTGTAAATACACCAATCAGCACCCTGTGTCTAGCTCAGGGTCTGTGAATGCACCAATCCACACTCTGTATCTAGCTACTCTGGTGGGGCCTTGGAGAACCTTCATGTCTAGCTCAGGGATTGTA